>NC_000003.12:132038907-132190422 GCF_000001405.40 Homo sapiens
CAGCTTTTCTTGCAGATGGGGTAGTGATGTGATTAAGGTCTAGCCCTGCACTATTTATTGTGGTAGCCACTAGACACATGTATCTATTTAAATTTAAATTTATTAAAATCAAGTAAAATTAAAAGTTGATTTTGTCAGTTCCACAAGTGACATTTTAAATGCTAAACAGTCATAAGTGGCTAGTAGCTAACATCTTGGATAGTTCAGATATAGAACATTTCTATCATTGCAGAAAGTTTTGTTATATAGCACTGATCTAGCCATTGAGATGAGATGTCAGTAGAAGTTATAGGGCAGTTTCTGTGAGAGTTTTCAAAGAGAAGGAGATACTGAATCAGCTGGGATGTACCTTTATCTCTTTACCTCTTCCTTTCTTTCTACCTGAAGGTTACAGTAAGTCAGCCATCATGTGACTATGAAGCAGCAAGCATTTGCCAAGGCAGGTTAAGCAGAAAGATAAAAGGAACCTGGGGCTTTGATATCATAAAGGCAACAACATTATTGTCAGCTGTATTAGGAGAAAAATAAAGTCTTCCATTGATTCAAGCTACTGTTTTCAGCTTTTTATTACAAATAGCTAAATATTATTTCTAACTGATATACCATCAGAAACTTACCTGGACAACTTTCTATTAATGACTGAAAAAGCGTGTGTCTTTCCAGTTTCCTTTACTTTGGTTAGAGTTGAGGACTAGACTCTGGATATAAGAAACAAAACAATGTGTACACCATGAAGTGATAAGTATTAATCATTCATTTCAATATGTCCAATGGACCAAAAAAGGGGCAGATGGGTATTAATGATTCCCAAAATAAATATCCCCTGTTTTAAAATTTGGCTAAAGAGTAGCTTTGCATTTTCCTGGAAAAGAGGTTGGTGGGAAAAAAAAGATAATATTTGAACCTGTACTATATGCTAGAAACTTGGCTGAATGATTTGACATTATCCTATTTAATGTTCATGACAATCCAATAACGTAACCACTCATATCTCCCTTTTGTGCAGATAACAAACTGAGGCCCAGAGAAATCAAATATGTTGTCAAAATCTACATCGTTGAAGAGATGGGTTTCAAATCCAGGTCGGCTTGGCCCTTGCCACGACTTCATAATGAAATTCCATGGGTGAGTGTTACCAGTTTCTGGTCCATCCTTGCTTATTTCAAGGGTCTCATCATCCCATCCACTGTATCACTTTTTTTGTTACAGGCTTTACTCTTTTCTACCATGGAAAAGACTAATGATATTTTTTTCTCCATAAGCTTGGAAATATTATCAATCACCATAAAATTCAGCCTTCCTCTGGTAACTTTGGAGACCCTCAGAGCTTTTCTTATTTCCAGAGACAGGCGGTTTGGATGAGAATTATTCTCTTTTTTCACACAAATTGGCCAGATGACATCTTTACTGGTATCTGAAATAGAAGCAGAAAACAACTTGGAGGACACAAAATGTGAAGGTTGGAGAAATAGCTTTGAATTCAAACTGAAATTAAATAGTTTCCTTTGTTGAAACTCACAGAGGAAAACAAGTTACCTAAAAAACTTATTAAGACTTTTACTAGAATTCATGAGATAATTGTAAGATAATAAAAAAGTCATGTAAAGAAAACCTAAAGAATTCAAAGAGAAAATGAGAGGAAAACAACATCATTGCAGATCTTAAAATCACATTCTGTAAAAATCAGAAATGACCATGCAGAAAACACAGAGCAGTCACAGAGGGCAAAGTAAGTGATGTTTATGGTGACCTGAATTGTTAAGAGGAAGTTCAAATATATTCTGAGTTACTGATTAAGAAATCAAAAAATGTTTTATAAATACTCTTTCCAAAAGATGATTAAATTATTTAGAAATCAACCCATCACTAAGATCAGCCTAGATTCAAGGGGAGGAAACATAGACCCACCCCTTGGTGAGAGGAATATCAAATGATTTTCAGATGTTTTAAAGCCACCATTCCCTCAGTCCTAAAAATGCTCAGTCCTTTCCAGCTACCTGTTTCTAATGCCCTCAGTATATTAAAAGTACATGAGATGTATATGAAATAAAGATGTTCTAGGCAAATGTATAACTCTTAATAGCAGTTTGGAGATTAAGCCCAAGTTTCTGTCTGGTCTCTTTCACTAGTCAACTGAGTCCCAAGTTCTCCTTGTGCCCCTTCAGTGCCAGTGCAGATTCCTACAACACCCTTTGTCCTAGATCCCCACCCTACATTGGCTATATCAAGAGTATCAGTCTATCAGCAAGAAGAAAAAAAGTCTCTCTCCAGAAGGTTTAGAGCATAAGACACCCTCAATTCCATTTGGTCTTCTTCCCCTTGAACGTCACCAGGGGCAGGATGCACTCTCATCCCCACCTACGGTGGCAGAGGGAAACCTAAACAATCTACAATTCTCATGCTTTTTCCTGTTCTCTCTCTTAGTTTATTTGTGTTGCTTTAACAAAATGCCATAGGCTAGGTACTTTATAAACAATAGAAATTTATTTCTCACAGTTCTGGAGGCTGGGAAGTCCAAGATCAAGGCATCAGCAGTTTTAGTATTTGGTGAGGGCCTGGTCTCTTTGCTTCCAAGATAGCACCTTGTTACTGCATTCTCCAGAGGGGATGAACGCAGTGTCCTCACATGGTAGAAAAGAAGGGAGGGCAAAAAGGGCCAAACTCAGTGTAAAACCCCTTTCATAAAGGCTTTAATCCCAGCCTTCATGACCTGATCATCTGCTAAAGGCCCCACATCTGATGCTATTGCCTTGGGGATTAAATTAAATTTCAGAGGACACATTCAAACCATAACAATATCTAACATCTAGAACATTACACAGCAGTACCTCGTGAAAAGACATAGTCTTTTTCTTCATTGGGTTTATGTTTAATTAGGGGACAAGAAATAAACAACCTCAACCCCACGTGGCTATTGCAAAAATGAGGTAACCCATGAGGAAATAAAGAGGAAGAAAACCTATATGTGATCAGAAGAGTCAGGGTAGACCTCAAAAAGCAGACAATGCAGAAACTACGACCTGTGGAAATTAATCAGGCAGGTTAGAGAAAAAGGCTCTCCAGCCAAGGAAGCAGCATGGACAAAGGCTCCAAGTCAAGCACAGACAAGGCATAATCAAAAAACCTCAAGCAATTAAATAATTCACTGTATCTGGGGCATAAAGACAGAAGGAAAAGGAGCAAGAACTGAGGCAAACAAGCAGGCAGGGGCATAAATACAAAGGACCTTGTAAGATTGACTTGAGATTTTATTGTATTCCATGAAATATTTATTCCAATATACTGAGTGGTAATTCAGAATTTTCCATAATCCATGGTAAAATAGGAAAAACAGGAAGCATTTTATATAACTAAATTAATTTTTTGAGAGTATATCTTCATATTTTCATGTTAATATTAGTCACTGCATTCTTGTCATTAATTCTCATGAGGCTTTGCCATTTTAAAAAAAATATTCTTACTTGATAGAATAAAAGTCCTGTGAGCCAAGAGCAACCCAAGAAATGTGTTTTGAGGTTTGCTCTGTGAAATCTAAATATTTGGACACATCAGCAAGAGGTCATGGGAAGACATTAAAGAATTTTGAGCAGCAAGTGTGATTAATGTTAAACTGGGAGAGGGTTGAAGAGGGAAAGTAAAGTTAGAGAAATGAGTAAGTTACCTCCACTGGATTCATTCAATAGATATTGAGCTGGTGTTAGGGATACAATGATGGACCAGCTAGGTAAGGTCTCTGCCTCATGGAGTTATCACTCAAGTCATGGAGACACAAAATGAACAAAGAAGGAGAGACAAACAGGTTGGGAGTCATGTAGAGGGCAGAATGTGGGAGAGAAAGATAGTGAAAGAAAGAACATCTGTAGATTAGCATAAGTTCTGTGAGGGAAATAAAAGTCTAATGATATAAGAAGTCACTGGGAAATGCCTCTTTGGATAGCATGGTCAAAAGGCCTCTCTAAGGAGAGAGCATTTGAATAGAGAACTATCAGATGAGAATGAGTCAGCACACAAAGACCAGAGGGAAGATCACTCCAGGCACAGGGTACAGCATTTATAAGGGCCCAGAGGTGAGAAAAGTTCTCAATGATCAGTTTTAATAGTTTGGAGAAGAGAGGATGAGGCAGTTTGAGCACTCCAAACTGCTTAAAGGTGAAAGGAGGAAAGGAACATGAAAAGGATGCAGGGAGGCTTTAATGTTACAGAAGACTGGTGTTGTTAATTTTATTAAATACCGCCCAAGGTATTGGGGTTGACAAAATATTGTCCTAGTTCTTCAGGAGATCATTGTCCAGTGCAAACCACTGCATAGAAATTAACCCTAGAGGGATAACCCACAGGAGGTTGGGGATTTACTTCCATCTATAGGCTAGAGATAAGGTCAGCTCCCATTTGACATCAATGGAAAGGAAAACCTCTGGATTGCACACCCAGGCTACCAATAGCAGAGAGTTATTTCTGGAGAAATAAGTCTACATTGATTTAAAGGAACAGATGTAAAGCAAGAACAGGATTTACCTCAGCAGATTCTATCCTCCCCCATAGGACCCACTCTCCCCATCACTTCTGTTTTCTTGATGATTCTTCAGGCTTGGCCTGCATCTGTAGTTACCTTCAGCAGCTATAGTTAACTTCAGCATCTATAGTTACCTTCAGCATCTATAGTTACCTTCAGCAGCTATAGTTACCTTGAGCTAAATAATTTCATATGTGTCATTTGGTTATATGTTATCTTGTTTATTCCTTGCAATAAATTTAGAAGACATCACTAGCCCCATTGTCTTTGTGTACTCCTTCTGATGGGCAGTATTTTTCTGATGTGTGCAGTTTGTCCCAGGAAGGGAAAACTTCTTCCTAGGTCACAGGGTTCATCTGTGCGGAGCAATGGGCCTTGGCTCCTGTGGAGACAAAGTAAACTGCTATAACACGGGTGGGCCAGGCCACAGGACACTTCAGGGCAGGCACCAGGATAAAAATGTCTTCTTCACAGGGTTGAGGTTAGGCAGTATGCTGAGTTTTTAAACCACATTTACATATAGATATTTTTAAATTGTTAAATGAATTCTTACTATATATTCTTAGGCAAGCAGCCTTTTTATGTCTATATTAATCTACATCACAATTTATAATAGCTAGAAAATATCCCAATATATGGATATAACAAGAAAAATGCCTAACTTAATCCCCTACTGTTGAGCATTTGTTTCTAATTTTTTACTGTTGTGCACAATGCTTCCATGAGCATGGTTTATATTAGGTACTCCTGATTAGACCCTAGTCTAATTTGGCCAAACCTAAAGAATCATCAAGAAAACAGAAGTGGGGCCAGGCACAGTGGCTCACACCTGTAATCTCAGCACTTTGGGAGGCTGAGGCGGGCAGATCACTTGAGGTCAGGAGTTCCAGACTAGCCTGGGCAACATGGAGAAACCCCATCTCTACAAAAAATAAAAAAATTAGCCAGGCATGGTGACGCATGCCTGTAATCCTACCTATTTGGGAGGCTGAGGCTGGAGAATCACTTGAACCCAGGAGGCAGAGGTTGCAGTGAGCCGAGATCACACCATTTCACTTCAGCCTGGGTGACAGAGAGACCCTGTGAAAGAAGGGCCAGGAAAGGAAGGGAAGGCAAGAGAAGGGAAGGGAAGGAAGGGGAAAAGAGAGGAAGGGAGGGGAAGGGAGGGGAGGGGAGGGAGAAGGAGGGGCAGGGAGGGGATGAAGGGGGAGGGAGGGGAGGGGAGGGGAGGGGGAAGGAAGGGGAGGGAGGGGGAGGGAGGGGAGGGAGGGGGGAGGGGAGGGGGAGGGGAGGAGAGTGGAGGAGAGGGGAGGAGAGGGGAGGGGAGGGGAGGGGGAGGGAGGGTGATGGAGGGAGGGTGGAGGGGAGGAGAGGGGGAGGGGAGGGGGAGGAGGAGGGAGGGGAGGGGGAGGGGAGGGAAGGGTGGGGAGGGAAGGGGAGCGGGAGGAAAGGGGAGGGGAGGGGGAGGGGGGAGGGGAGGGGAGGGGGAGGGGAAGGGAAGGGAAGGGGAGCGGGAGGGAAGGGGAGGGGGAGGGGGGAGGGGAGGGGAGGGGGAGGGGAAGGGAAGGGAAGGGAAGGGAAGGGAAGGGAAAGGAAGGGAAGGGAAGGGAAAGGAAGGGAAGGGAGAGAGATGGTGAGAGTGGGTCCTATTGGGGAGGATAGGATCCACTGAGGAAAATCCTATTCTTGCTTTACATCTGTTCCTTTAAATCAATGTAGACTTATTTCTCCAGAAACAACTCTCTGCTGTTGGTAGCCTGGGAGCACAGTCCATAGGCCTGCCTTTCCGTTGATGTCAATGGGAGCTGACCTTTTCTCTAGCCTACAGATGGAAGTAAATTCCCAACCAAGGGGCTCCTGTGGGTTAACCCTCTGGGGTTTCCAGCAGAATTGCCCTTAAAGTGAATCACCGGTGATCAAAGCAGACCAAAGTAACACATTATTTCTCTATAGAAGAGAAGGTGAAGTCCTGTCATTCTGAGGCTATTCTTGGTGGAGGGAAGAAATCATAAGAAACCAACCCAAATTGAGGGACATTCTATAAAATCTCACTAGCCCTCCGCAAAACTGTAGTATCATTATAAACAAGGAAAGACTGAGAAACTGCTGGAGACCAGAGGATACCAAGAAGACATGAAAAGTAAATGCAATGTGATCCCCTAGACTGGATCCCAGAACAGAAGAAAAGACATTCGTGGGAAAACTGGTTAAATCCAAATACAGTCTGGAGCCTGCTTAATAGTAATATACCAATGTTGGCTTCTTAATTATGACAAATGTTCCAATGCAATGTATTCTGTTTACATTATGGGAAACTGGATGAAAAGTATATGGGTACTCTCTGTACTCTCTTCCCAACTTTTCCATAAATCTAAAATTGTCACAAATTAAAACTTTGTTCTTAAAAAAGACAACTTTTCTGTTTGTTACCTTAGGGTAAAATTAGAATAGTTGAGTCAAAGGCTGTGCATAATTTGCAGGTTTTTGTTTCATTCTGTAAAATCACTAGGATGGTAATTTAACTTAATCCATTATTTTTGCTTAACTTCTGAAGTAAAAGCCCTACTGTATCTGCTTGTCATATGTAAGTCAACCATCTCCTTGGCAAATTACACAGGAATACACTCGCCAGTTAACTCCTGGCAGAACTCAGAGAGAATATTGATGAGAACTGCCAGAGAAACAGTACTCTGCCTACCCTTCTCAGACTAGCAGGTTCTCTACAGGCAAGAGAATTAAGAAGTGACTCGGCTGGGAGCGGTGGCTCACGCCTGTAATCCCAGCACTTTGGGAGGCCGAGACGGGCGGATCATGAGATCAGGAGATCGAGACCATCCTGGCTAACACGGGGAAACCCTGTCTCTACTAAAAATACAAAAAATTAGCCGGGCGTGGTGGCGGGCGCCTGTAGTCCCAGCTACTCAGGAGGCTGAGGCAAGAGAATGGCGGGAACCTGGGAGGCGGAGCTTGCAGTGAGCCGAGATGGCGCCACTGCACTCCAGCCTGGGCGACAGAACGAGACTCTGTCTCAAAAAAAAAAAAAAAAAAAGAATTAAGAAGTGACTCAAAAAACTCCCAGGAATCAAGGACAGAGCCAGAGGAAGCCATTTTTACATAGTCGTTTTTCTTATTGCAACTCTGCTTTCTGCGTTTTTCCAGCAGCCCTGCCTTTAAAGTGAATCACCAGTGATCAAAGGCAGACCAAAATAACGCATTGTTCCTCTAGAGAAGATAAGGTGAAGTCCTATCATTCTGAGGGTATTCTTAGGGAAGGAGAAAGAGAAAGAAGAGCAAGAGAGAAACCACATTGCCTACATTTTCTAAAAGCAAGGCCTGTAATTTTCCTCTTTTGAAAATCTTTTTAAAAAACACTTGCCTATTGAAACAAGCGTAAGTAATGCTGAGGCATGTATTAATAACTTTATCTGTTCTGTTTCTATCACCTCTTCCTACTGCAATGTGCAATGGATGATCTACAGTGTTTCTGGTCATGCTGTTAGTATATATAGAAAGGGACAAATTAACAGGTATGGAGCATCTGTGAGTGAGGCACTGTTCTAGGAACCTTCAAGATGGTGTCATCAAACTCTCACAGTAATGCAGGGTAAGAGTTTGGAAGGCTTCAAAAATTGTCATTATTTTTCCCCCACTCCACATATCCATGCCTTTTGTAGTGTGCCTTTGTGGCTCTTACCATCAAGTAGAATAGTCTATTTCTACACCCACTTGAATCTGGGCTAGCCTTGTGACGTGTTTTTAATAGAATGCAGCAGAAGTGACATTCTGCCAGTTCTGAGCCTAAACCTGTAGGAGGTCTAGCATACTTCCATGTAGCCACCATGAGAACAAGCCCAGGCCCTCTTTTTGGAGGATGAATGAGAGATGGGCTATAGATGAGCCATTGTGACTGAAGCCCAAACCTGTAAGACAGCCCAGGCAAGATTAGGAAACCAACCCCCAGTCAACCCTCGGTTGGCCATAAACACTTGAGTAAGCCATGCCCAAAACAGCTGAGCCAGAGCAGAACTATGAACTAACAAGTGTTTGTTATTTTAAGCCACTGACTTTGGGAGGTGGTTTGCTGTACAGCAATAGTTAATTGATACAAGATGATAGTCTTATTTCCTTTTAAGATAGGATGAAATTAAGGCATAGAGAGATGAAATAATTTATCCAAGGAGGCACAGCTAGTAAGTGGGGAAACTCAAGATTCAATCCAAGCACTAAATAAATCTAAGGTTTCTTCTTCCACTACAACCTCTGCCAGTAGAATGGAAACAAGAAGAAAAACTAACAAAACCAAATGTCATAGCTATTTAAATATGACAAAACTGAAATCACTTCCCCAGCTGTCTTCTGGATAGTATGTAATGTGTGTGCATCTGTATATGTTTGCAGAGAACAATCTATTCAATGGAGAGAATGAGGTAGGTTAGAGAGAGCTATTTTTTAACTTCAAAAACATAGTCTAAATCAAATGCATTCATCTTGGTGTAAATCTGTAATTGGTTCATGATGACAACTGGACTGTTTTTGACAAACTAATTTTCCTCTCTCTTAAAAGCAAGGCACTTGGGACAACCACTCAGCACTCCTTTTCTTTCTCCCTGTGAGGCTCTGTCTTGATCTTCCATCTTTTGTTTGGAGTCTCTCTTCAATCCTTTTCCCTTTGTCTCCTTTGCTTATTCTCTGACTCTCTCCATCTATCAAAACTTGTTTAATAACAGCTTAGTTAATCCCTGATGGCCTTATTTCCCCTGACTTCTGCATTTTTGGTAACTTATTTTCTGGTCTTGAATTTGTCTGTCCCTAGTTTATAACTTTCAAATTGCCTTCCTTTGAATGAGCAATAAAGTGAATTAGATCATGCCATTTCTCTGCCTAATACCCTTCAATATTTTCCCATTGTTCCTAGGGTCATCTGAACTCCTTAGCCTGGCCTGCAAGGTCCTGCATGATCCAGTCCTTTCTATTTTTCCTGCTTGGTCTCATTCTATGACCCTCTCTAGTTCCCCAACGTCTGTGCTCTAGCCAGACAAATTTCTTTCTTCATTTATTTTTTCTTTCCTTCTTTTTTTTTTTAATTTGAGTCACTGTTTCCCTCTGTCACCAGGCTGGAGTACAGTAGTACCATCATGACTCCCTGCAGCCTCGAGCTCCAGGGCTCAAGAAACCCTCCTGCCTCAGCCTCCATAGGTGCTGGGACTACGGGCATGAATCCACCCTACCCAGCTCTCGCGTTTGTTTCAGATATTTCAACCTCTGTTTCCAAGCCTTCCCACATGCTGTTTCCTCTCTGAGAATGCCTTTTATGTGCATGTGCATGCACGCACACACACACACACACACACAACAATTTTTGGCTGATTTTTTAAGTATTTAAAGAAATTTCCCTTCTGCTGAAAGCTTCCCTTGAATCTCCTAAATGATAATATGTTTATTATTATTATACTTTAAGTTTTAGGGTACAGGTGCACAACGTGTGCAGGTTTGTTACATATGTATACATGTGCCATGTTGGTGTGCTGCACCCATTAACTCATCATTTACATTAGGTATATCTCCTAATGCTATCCCTCCCCCATCCCCACTACCCCACGACAGGCCCCAGTGTGTGATGTTCCCCTTCCTGTGTCCAAGTGTTCTCACTGTTCAATTCCCACCTATGAGTGAGAACATGCGGTGTTTGGTTTTTTGTCCTTGTGATAGTTTGCTGAGAATGATGGTTTCCAGTTTCATCCATGTCCCTACAAAGGACAGGAACTCATCCTTTTTTATGGCTGCATAGTATTCCATGGTGTATATGTGCCACATTTTCTTAATCCAGTCTATCATTGTTGGACATTTGGGTTGGTTCCAAGTCTTTGCTATTGTGAATAGTGCTGCAATAAACATACGTGTGCATCTGTCTTTATAGCAGCATGATTTATAATCCTTTGGGTATATACCCAGTAATGGGATGGCTGGGTCAAATGGTATTTCTAGTTCTAGATCCCTGAGGAATTGCCACACTGACTTCCACAATGGTTGAACTAGCTTACAGTCCCACCAACAGTGTAAAAGTGTTCCTATTTCTCCACATCCTCTCCAGCACCTGTTGTTTCCTGACTTTTTAATGATCACCTTTCTAACTGGTGTGAGATGGTACCTCACTGTGGATTTGATTTGCATTTCTCTGATGGCCAGTGATGATGAGCATTTTTTCATGTGTCTGTTGGCTGCATAAATGTCTTCTTTTGAGAAGTATCTGTTCATATCCTTCACCCACTTGTTGATGGGGTTGTTTTCTTCCTGTAAATTTGTTTGGGTTCTTTGTAGATTCTGGATATTAGCCCTTTGTCAGATGGGTAGATTGCAAAAATTTTCTCCCATTCTGTAGGTTGCCTGTTCACTCCGATGGTAGCTTCTTTTGCTGTGCAGAAGCTCTTTAGTTTATTTAGATCCCATTTGTCAATTTTGGCTTTTGTTGCCATTGCTTTTGGTGTTTTAGACATGAAGTCCTTGCCCATGCCTATGTCCTGAATGGTATTGCCTAGGTTTTCTTCTAGGGTTTTTATGGTTTTAGGTCTGACATTTAAGTCTTTAATCCATCTTGAATTAATTTTTGTATAAGATGTAAGGAAGGGATCCAGTTTCAGCTTTCTACATATGGCTAGCCAGTTTTCCCAGCACCATTTATTAAATAGGGAATCCTTTCCCCATTTCTTCTTTTTGTCAGGTTT
Source organism: Homo sapiens (assembly GCF_000001405.40). Taxonomy (NCBI): domain Eukaryota; kingdom Metazoa; phylum Chordata; class Mammalia; order Primates; family Hominidae; genus Homo; species Homo sapiens. The sequence goes on from NC_000003.12 coordinate 132,050,143, forward strand.
GTCAAAGATCAGATAGTTGTAGATGTCTGGCATTATTTCTGAGGGCTCTGTTCTGTTCCATTGGTCTATATCTCTGTTTTGGTACCAGTACCATGCTGTTTTGGTTACTGTAGCCTTGTAGTATAGTTTGAAGTCAGGTAGCATGATGCCTCCAGCTTTGTTCTTTTGGCTTAGGATTGACTTGGCAATGCGGGCTCTTTTTTGGTTCCATATGAACCTTAAAGTAGTTTTTTCCAATTCTGTGAAGAAAGTCATTGGTAGCTTGATGGGGATGGCATTGAATCCATAAATTACCTCGGGCAGTATGGCCATTTTCACGATATTGATTCTTCCTATCCATGAGCATGGAATGTTCTTCCATTTGTTTGTGTCCTGTTTTATTTCGTTGAGCAATGGATTGTAGTTCTCCTTGAAGAGGTCCTTCACATCCCTTGTAAGTTGTATTCCTAGGTATTTTATTCTCTTTGAAGCAATTGTGAATGGGAGTTCACTCATGATTTGGCTCTCTGTTTGTCTGTTATTGGTGTATAAGAATGCTTGTGATTTTTGCACATTGATTTTGTATCTTGAGACTTTGCTGAAGTTGCTTATCAGCTTAAGGAGATTTTGGGCTGAGACGATGGGGTTTTCTAGATATACAATCATGTCATCTGCAAACAGGGACAATTTGACTTCCTCTTTTCCTAATTGAATACCCTTTATTTCCTTCTCCTGCCTGATTGTCCTGGCTAGAACTTCCAACACTGTGTTGAATAGGAGTGGTGAGACAGGGCATCCCTGTCTTGTGCCAGTTTTCAAAGGGAATGCTTCCAGTTTTTGCCCATTCAGTATGATATTGGTTATGGGTTTGTCATAAATAGCTCTTATTATTTTGAGATACGTCCCATCAATACCTAATTTATTGAGAGTTTTTAGCCTGAAGGGCTGTTGAATTTTGTCAAAGGCCTTTTCTGCATCTCTTGAGATAATCATGTGGTTTTTGTCATTGGTTCTGTTTATATGCTGGATTACATTGATTGATTTGTGTATGTTGAACCAGCGTTGCATCCCAGGGATGAAGACCACTTGATCATGGTGGATAAACTTTTTGATGTGTTGCTGGATTTGGTTTGCCAGTATTTTATTGAGGATTTTTGCAACGATGTTCATCAGGGATATTGGTCTAAAATTCTCTTTTTTTGTTGTGTCTCTGCCTGGCTTTGGAATCAGGATGATGCTGGCCTCATAAAATGAGTTAGGGAGGATTCCCTCTTTTTCTATTGATTAGAATAGTTTCAGAAGGAATGGTACCAGATCCTCCGTGTACCTCTGGTAGAATTCGGCTGTGAATCCATCTGGTCCTGGACTTTTTTTGGTTGGTAAGCTATTAATTATTGCCTCAATTTCAGAGCCTCTTATTGGTCTATTCAGAGATTCAACTTCTTCCTGGTTTAGTCTTGGGAGGGTGTATGTATCGAGGAATTTATCCATTTCTTCTAGATTTTCTAGTTTATTTGCATAGAGGTGTTTATAGTATTCTCTGATGGTAGTTTGTATTTCTGTGGGATTGGTGGTGATATCCCCTTTATCATTTTTTATTGCATCTATTTGATTCTTGTCTTTTCTTCTTTATTAGTCTTGCTAGCGGTCTATCAATTTTGTTGATCTTTTCAAAAAACCAGCTCCTGGATTCATTGATTTTTTGAAGGGTTTTTTTGACTCTATCTCCTTCAGTTCTGCTCTGATCTTAGTTATTTCTTGCCTTCTGCTAGCTTTTGAATGTGTTTGCTTTTGCTTTTCTAGTTCTTTTAATTGTGAAGTTAGGGTGTCAATTTTAGATCTTTCCTGCTTTCCCTTGTGGGCATTTAGTGCTATAAATTTCGCTCTACACACTGCTTTAAATGTGTCCCAGAGATTCTGGTATGTTGTATCTTTGTTCTCGTTGGTTTCAAAGAACATCTTTATTTCTCCCTTCATTTCCTTATGTACCCAGTAGTCATTCAGGAGCAGGTTGTTCAGTTTCCATGTAGTTGAGCGGTTTGGAGTGAGTTTCTTAATCCTGAATTCTAGTTTGATTGCACTGTGGTCTGAGAGACAGTTTGTTATAATTTCTGTTCTTTTACATTTGCTGAGGAGTGCTTTACTTCCAACTATGTGGTCAATTTTGGAATAAGTGTGGTGTGGTGCTGAGAAGAATATATATTCTGTTGATTTGGGGTGGAGAGTTCTGTAGATGTCTATTAGGTCCGCTTGGTGCAGAGCTGAGTTCAATTCCTGGATATCCTTGTTAACTTTCTGTCTCATTGATCTGTCTAATATTGACAGTGGGGTGTTAAAGTCTCCCATTATTATTGTGTGGGAGTCTAAGTCTCTTTGTAGGTCTCTAAGGACTTGCTTTATGAATCTGGGTGCTCCTGTATTGGGGGCATATATATTTAGGATAGTTAGCTCTTCTTGTTGAATTGATCCCTTTACCATTATGTAATGCCCTTGTCTTTTTTTATCTTTGTCTGTTTAAAGTCTGTTTTATCAGAGACTAGCATTGCAAACCCTGACATTTTTTGTTTTCCATTTGCTTGGTAGATCTTCCTCCATCCCTTTATTTTGAGCCTATGTGTGTCTCTGCACATGAGATGGATTTCCTGAGTACAGAACACTGATGGGTCTTGACTCTTTATCCAGTTTGCCACTGGGTCTTTTAATTGGAGCATTTAGCCCATTTACATTTAAGGTTAATATTGTTATGTGTGAATTCGATCCTGTCATTATGATGCTAGCTGGTTATTTTGCTCATTAGTTGATGCAGTTTCTTCCTAGCCTCGATGGTCTTTACAATTTGGCATGTTTTTGCAGTGGCTGGTACCGGTTGTTCCTTTCCATGTTTAGTGCTTCCTTCAGGAGCTGTTGTAGGGCAGGCCTGGTGATGACAAAATCTCTCAGCATTTGCTTGTCTGTAAAGTATTTTATTTCTCCTTCACTTATGAAGCTTAGTTTGGCTGGATATGAAATTCTAGGTTGAAAATTCTTTTCTTTAAGAATGTTGAATATTGGCCCCCACTGTCTTCTGGCTTGTAGAGTTTCTGCTGAGAGATCAGCTGTTAGTCTGATGGACTTCCCTTTGTGGGTAACCCGACCTTTCTCTCTGGCTGCCCTTAACATTTTTTCCTTCATTTCAACTTTGGTGAATCTGACAATTATGTGTCTTGGAGTTGCTCTTCTCGAGGAGTATCTTTGTGGCATTCTCTGTATTTCCTGAATCTGAATGTTGGCCTGCCTTGCTAGGTTGGGGAAGTTTTCCTGCAGCATGTTTTCCAACTTGGTTCCATTCTCCCCAACACTTTCAGGTACACCAATCAGACGTAGATTTGGTCTTTTCACATAGTCCCATATTTCTTGGAGTCTTTGTTCATTTCTTTTTGTTCTTTTTTCTCTAAACTTCTCTTCTCACTTCGTTTCATTCATTTGATCTTCCATCACTGATACCCTTTCTTCCAGTTGACTGAATTGGCTACTGAAGCTTATGCATTCGTCACGTAGTTCTTGTGCCATGGTTTTCAGCTCCAGCAGGTCCTTTAAGGACTTCCCTGCATTGGTTATTCTAGTTAGTCATTCGTCTAATCTTTTTTCAAGGTTTTTAAATTCTTTGCCATGGGTTCGAACTTCCTCCTTTAGCTTGGAAAAGTTTGATTGTCTGAAGCCTTCTTCCCTCAACTCATCGAAGTCATTCTCCGTCCAGCTTTGTTCCATTGCTGGTGAGGAGCTGCGTTCCTTTGAAGGAGGAAAGGCGCTCTGATTTTTAGAATTTTCATTTTTTCTGCTCTGTTTTTTCCCCATCTTTGTGGTTTTATCTACCTTTGGTCTTTGATGATGGTGACGTACAAATGGGGTTTTGGTGTGGATGTCCTTTCTGTTTGTTAGTTTTCCTTCTATCAGTCAGGACCCTCAACTGCAGGTCTGTTGGAGTTTGCCGGAGGTCCACTCCAGACCCTGTTTTCCTGGGTGTCAGCAGCGGAGGCTGCAGAACAGCGAATATTGGTGAACAGCAAATGTTGCTGCCTGACCGTTCCTCTGGAAGTTTTGTCTCAGAGGGGTACCCGGCCATGTGAGGTGTCAGTTTGCCCCTACTGGGGGGTGCCTCCCAGTTAGGCTACTCGGGGGTCAGGGACCCACTTAATAATATGCTCTTGTTATATGCCTACCAGTAGTCTATACTTATGCTACTATAGCATTTACCACCTTGTATTGTATTTGCTGGCTTAATTGTCTGTATTCCTTAACTTACTACCTATTTCATCTGCCATTCTATACCCGAGGCTAGAATGGAGCTTTGTACACAGTAGACTCTCAATAAATATTTGTTGAATTAATAAATAATATGTTGTTATTCTTCTTGCATGCTTTAACCCCAAAACAAATTTTCATAATTCTTAGTACTAGTATACAAGAAAGCAAGTTGGAATATTTTTGGTTATAAGGAACAATGAATGCAGACTAGCTTAAACAATCAAGGATTGGTTGGCTTATGTAGCTAGAAGAATCCAGAGACAAGATAATTATCAAAGATGGTTTTATCCAGTAACTCTGGTTCTGTTTTCTCTGGCATACTGTGATATAGCTGCAACTGCTCAGGCTACACATCCACAGGTCCAAGGGGTGAGAGAAAACACTCCCATCCAAAAACCCTAAGCAAAAGTTCCAAGGTTTGTTCTGATTAGATCACTTAGGCCACATGGCCAGTAAAGAGCCAGTACAGGGACCAGGGTAATATAATATGCTGATGGCTTAAGCTTCCCACTCCCCAAATAATTGGGTTGTGCAGGGAAGTATGGCTTATTGAATACAATTTGGAATATCATTAAAAAGAGAGAGATGGGTGCTGGCTACAGCTAATAATGAGTCTGCATTTGTCACTACATATTTTTCCATGACTACATTCATAGTGATTTACAGGGCATATGTTGTATATCCATATATGCTGAGATGGTATGGGACATACCATCTTATTGGGCAAGATACTACCTCTGCCCAATAAGAACGTAAGTTCCAGATGGCATAACTCTTCTTCTACCCATCATTTCAGATGCAAACAGAAGTTTATTTGGGATTCTGGACGAGTGGAGAGGAGGAATTACTTGTATGGCTTTGCCCATTTGAGGATTCAACATCTTGGTAACACTCAGTTTTTATGTATATTTTTTAAATGCTGGAATTTTATGAAAATAACAGAAGACTTATTTGAGTATAACTGAACCCCCATTAGAAGATGAGATCTCTATATGTTTTACTATATCACTAACTGCAGTATAAAGAATATATACTCATAGTATCATGTTTGAGTTCCATTGCCTCTGCTATGATTTGACTGTCCTCTCCAAAACCCATGTTGAAATTTAATTACCAATGTAACAGTATTGGGAGATGGGGCCTTTAAGAGGTGATTAGGTCATGAGGGTGGAGCCTTCATAAAGGTGTTAATTTTTATGGAAGTGGATTAGTTATCCCAGGACTGAGTTTCTTTTATCAGGAACCCTCTCCTGGGATAACTAACCCACTTTGACCCCATTTCTCTCTCTGTCTCACATACTTCTTTGCCTTTCCACCATGTTATAATGCAGTAAAAAAGCCCTCACCAAATGCAGCCTCTGGATCTTGGACTTTCCAGCCTCCAGAACTGTCGGCCAAAGAAATTGCTGTTCTTTAAAAATAACTCAGTTTGTGGTCTTCTGTAATAGCAGAGGAAAATTGTCTAAGACAGCCTCCTTCCCAGAAACTGCAAAAATCCTAAGCAAAAGTTCCAGGCATGGAAGTAGGCATAACCAAGTGAATTTCCTTCAGTGTGGTCTGGCCTGGATATGCTATCTTCTTACATTATATGGGTTCTAATGAGCTTCTTCTCAGCATCATTCTGTGATGTAACAGTCCTCATAGCATGGCTGCCTTACCATGACTGGCAGAAAATTTTTATTCTCTTGATTAGTAACCACTCGAAGTTACATTTCTTAATGCAGAGGCTTTATTGACTATTTTTTAGAGCAGTTATTCAAACATGCTCTGCTAAATCCAAATGCTGTTGCTCATTGCCTTGGGAATGGCTTCTCTCTGTTTGACCTAGTTTTCCATTCCTATATTTCTCTAACTGGAAGTCACTTTATTTCATCTATTCTGCATCAGTGAAATAACATTTAACATTCCACTCTTTCAGGATAGAAAGGGTAGCTCTCAGATTTGTCCCGAATTTAAAAAGTTATCTGCCTTAGGCAGAAACATGACTCTTTCTAAACTGACCACAGAAACATCCTCTCTGCCTTTATTATCTCAGAGATTTTACTATTCAACCCCAGACTACCAATTTTTTTTTATTATTATACTTTAAGTTCTAGGGTACATGTGCACAAAATGCAGGTTTGTTACATATGTATACATGGGCCATGTTGGTGTGCTGCACCCATTAACTCCTCATTTACATTAGGTATATCTCCTAATGCTATCCCTCCCCCCTCCCCTCACCCAACGACAGGCCCTGGTGTGTGACGTTCTCCTTCCTGTGTCCAAGTGTTCTCATTGTTCAAGTCCCACCTATGAGTGAGAACATGTGGTGTTTGGTGTTTTGTCCCTGCAATAGTTTGCTGAGAATAATGGTTTCCAGCTTCATCCATGTCCCTACAAAGGACAGGAACTCATCCTCTTTTATGGCTGCATAGTATTCCATGGTGTATATGTGCCACATTTTCTTAATCCAGTCTATCATTGACGGACATTTGGGTTGGTTCCAAGTCTTTGATATTGTGAATAGTGCCACAATAAACATACGTTTGCATGTGTCTTTATAGCAGCATGATTTATAATCCTTTGGGTATATACCCAGTAATGGGATGGCTGGGTCAAATGGTATTTCTAGTTCTAGATCCTTGAGGAATCGCCACACTGTCTTCCACAATGGTTGAACCAGCTTACAGTCCCACCAACGGTGTAAAAGTGTTCCTATTTCTCCACATCCTCTCCAGCACCTGGAGTGACTTCATTTCCACCTTAGAAAACAGCACCTGTTGTTTCCTACCAATATTAGCAAGGTTTACAATTAAAGTCACCACAAGTAGGATAAAAAGGATATTGGTCAGGTCATTTAAGAGTGTGGTTCAGATTACAGGTTTGTAGGAAGAGATTCAATACATAATACCTTTGCTTCTTACAGATATCAAATCAACTAGACATCAAACCCCATTTGTGTTTGCTAAGTACTCTCTCATCCATAAAAAACATGGAACAGTAGTACACAGACACTACAATTCACAGCCTCTAATTAAAATTGCCACAAGTAGCAAGTTTATTTATTTGAGGTTCATTTATTCTTCCTGAATGCCTCCTTCGGGGAATCATAGAAGCACTGAATCAAAAATAAATGTTGAACATTGTCCTTCACTCAACAAATAGACACTGAGCACCTGTTATGTGTCAAGTACTCTGTTAGTCACTGAAGATATAAAGCCAAAAACAGATAGACTGATATTTTCATGGGTGGCAGACATGAAACAGCTCTAATAAAATATAGTGAAATTGTATAGAGAATTTGTAAGCTGCTATGGCAGTGGAAGTCTGGGGGAGTTAACAGGGTCTAGGGAAAAGGAAAAATTTCCTGTAGAGATCATATTTAGGCTCAGACATGAAGAGTCAGTAAGAGGCAGTCAGAAAAATGGGAGTAAGGGAGAAGGAAAGGGCAAAGGAAGGATTGTGTGCATAAAAATCCAGAAGTAGAGATGGTTGGGAGAGAGATGGAAGAGAGAGGCCTGAGGAAGATCGAGGTGAGTCTGGAGATGGAAACAGAGATTGGTTGTTGACTCAGTGGCATAAGTCCAGTGGGAATCATGAGAGGGAAGAGACAGGAGGGAGGCAGGTCATGGAAGAGTAGACTTCAAGGAGTCATTGGAGATTTTTAAAAGAGGACTGGCGTGACTTCATTTCCACCTTAGAAAACTCCCTCTAGCAGCTGGGTGGAGAATTGACTGATGATGAGCAAGACTGGAGGCAGGGATGGATAGTGATCTGGGTGAAAAATGATGGTGGCCTAAACCCATGTGGTGACAGTGAGGATGGATGAACTGGGTGATTTCAGATATTCACAAGGCAAAAATCCATGTGACTTGGGGATCACTTAGTGTTAATTCAAAAATACCTGGACAGTTCAAATGTATAGCATTATTTGACTATGGGTTTTACTTAACTGTAGCAAATGCTGTTGGTATCCTCCCTTCCCACCCCTCACCAAGCTTCCTCTGCCCAAGTCTGAGACCACCTGTGGACAGTTGGCATACAGAGATAACTGCCTACATTTGTGTCAGACAGCATCCTCTGGCCACCAGCATGGAGCAGGCCAAAATATAAGCAAGTCAATGCCACCAAGAGTGACTCTCAACCAAGGGTAAATGGAAATTGTGTATAAATATTCCAACTTCCTTGTCCTTTCATGGGACAATGCTAAGGTGTGTTCTAGATAGTCTCTCCGAGGCTCCTCATTGAGACTGAGCCCTTTGTGCACATAGTGATCACCCACTCATTAAAAAATCTCTATTGGATTTCTGACCCCTGGGTCTACTGCCCTGTCCCCAACTTCTGCTTCCTGGGATCAACTTCCAGATAAATCACTTAACAAAAATCCTTGACTTAGGGTCGACTTTAAGGGGAACCCAAATTGAGCTTTATATTGTTTTTACATTTATGAGCTGAAAGAGAATGTTTTAAAGACACATTTTAAAGCCTTTAAATTTCATACTCACTTAACTGATGAAATTTTACTCTCCCACTTCTTCAACAGTATAATTTAGTCTTCCACCTTATTAGTGTTGGATGATCAGTTTTTAGTTTTAAAAGTGAAAAGGTCTTAAAGTAGGGTTTTAAAGTGTGTCTAAAAATTTTATTCTTTAAAACCTCATTGTTCTGATGTTCTCTGCTATTATTACCAAACATAAGATCCCTAGAAAGCTGCCTGATTTCCTGATAAAAGTAATATAAATATTATCAAGTGGTCATTTGCAGGAAGTTGATATTTAAAGCAATACATTTTATTAAAACTGAAATTATCCCTCACTTCAATTACAAGTAACCAGAAACTTCATGTATTAGAATTTCCTCTCATCTTTCAATTTCACTCCCATTGATGTTCATACCTAACCATGGGAAGAAAGGGGCACAGTTTAGAATGAATACTAGAGAGACAGATGAGGTGAAAGAAGGGAAAAAGGAAACAAGGCCAGAGAAGTCAGTATTAGAGGAAAAACTGGAAAGTGCATGTATTAGCTTGCCAGGGATGCTGTAACAGAGTGCCGCAGGCTCGGGGGGCTTAAACAACGGAAAGATATTGCCTCAGTGTTCTGGAGGCTACAAGTCTGAAATCAGGGTGTCAGCAGAGTTGGTTCCCACTTGAGGACTGTGAGGGAAGAATCTGTTTCAGAACTCTTTCCCTGGTTTGTAGATGGCCATCTTCTCCCTGTGTCTTCACATCATCTTCACTCTGCATGCATGTGTCTGTGGCCAACTTTCCTCTTCTTAGAAGAAAGAACAGCAATCTTATTGGATTACAGCCCAGCATAAATACCTCATTTTAACTCAATTACCTATAACTAAATATAGTCACATTCTCACTAGGGGTTAGCACTTCAACATATGAGTTGTGGGAGGACACAATTGAGCCCACAACTTAAGAAGGACGAAATATTTCTAAGGGTGTGTTCTGAGCCCAGTAGGGTTTCCTTTAAAGCTTGGTGCTTTTAACAATCTCAATGCTGATAGTGTTTCTTCAGAGTGAATTAAGAACAAAATCCTCATTGCAAATGTTATTATGTACAGAGTAATATAATTATGGAAGCAATGAAACATATAATTAGGTCAGGTTTTTTTGGCTTTGCAATCTTTTCTGGCAAAGTTTTCTTTTTTTTTTTTTTAAATTAAATTTTAGGTTCAGGGTACATGTGAACCCTGTTCGGGTTTGTTACATAGGTGAACTCATGTCACAAGGGTTTGTTGTACAGATAATTTCATCACGTAGGTATGAAGCCCAGTACCCAATAGTTATCTTTCTGCTCCTCTCCCTCCTCCCACCCTCCACTCTCAAGTAGACCCCAGTATCTGCTGTTTCCTTCTTTGCGTTCATGAGTTCTCATCATTTAGCTCCCGCTTACAAGTGAGAACATGAGATATTTTGTTTTCTGTTCTTGTGTGTTATTTTGCTAAGTGTAATAACCTCAAGCTCCATTAATGTTCCCACAAAAGACATGATTTCATTCTTTTTATGGCTGCATAGTATTCCATGGTGTATATGTATCACATTTTCTTTATCTGTCATTGATGGGCATTTAGGTTGATTCCATGTCTTTGCTATTGTGAATAGTGCTGGAATGAACATTTGCATGCATGTGTCTTTATGATAGAATGATTTATATTCTTCTGGGCATATGCCCAGTAATGGGATTGCTGGGTCAAACAGTCGTTCTGCTTTTAGCTCTTTGAGGAATCACCATACTGCTTTCCACAATGGTTGAACTAATTTACACTCCCACCAACAGTATATAAGTGTTTCCTTTTTTCCACAACCTCAGCAGCATCTGTTATTTTTTGACTTTTTAATAGCAGCCATTCTGACTGGTGTGAGATGGTATCTCATTGTGGTTTTGATTTGCATTTCTCTAATAATTAGCCATATTCAGCTTTTTAATATACACTTGTTGGCCATATGTATGTCTTCTTTTGAACAGTGTCTGTTCATGTCCTCTGCCCACTTTTTAATGGGGTTGTTTGTTTCTTCTTGTAAATTTGAGTTGCTTATAGATGCTGGATATTAGACCTTTGTCAGATGCATAGTTTTCAAATATTTTCTCCCATTCTGTAGGTTGCCTGTTTACTCCATTGATAGCTTATTTTGCTGTACAGAAGCTTTTAAGTTAAATTAGACCCAACTTGTCAATTTTTGCTTTTTTGAAATTGCTTTTGGTGTCTTTGTCATGAAATCTTTGCTCGTTCCTATGACCAAGATGGTATTGCTTAGATTGTCTTCCAGGGTTTTTATAGTTTGGTGTTTTACCTGTAAGTCTTTAATCTATCTTGAGTTGATTTTTCTATATGGTGTAAGAAAGGGGTCCTTTCTGCATATGGCTAGCCAGTTATCCCAGCACCATTTGTTCAATAGGGAAGTCTTTCCTTGTCGCTTGTTTTTTGTCAGCTTTGTTGAAGATCAGATAGTGTAAGTGTGTGGCCTTATTTTTTGGCTCTTTATTCTGTTCCATTGGTCTATGTACCTGTTTTTGTACTAGTACCATGCTGTTTTGGTTACTGTAGCCCTGTAGTATAGTTTGAAGTTGGGTAACATGATGCCTCCAGCTTTTTTATTTTTGCTTAGGATTGCCTTGGGTATTCGGGCTCTTTTTTGTTCCATATGAATTTTAAAATAGTTTTTTCTGGTTCTGTAAAGAATGTCTTTGGTAGTTTGATAGGAATAGCACTGAATCTGTAAATTGCTTTGGTCAGTATGGCCATTTTAATAATATTGATTCTTCCCGTCCATGAGCATATCATGTTTTTCTATTTATTTGTATCTTTTCTGATTTATTTGAGCAGTGTTTTATAATTCTCATCATAGAAATCTTTCACCTCCCTGGTTAGCTGTATTCCTAGGTATTTTATTATTTTTGTGGCAATTGTGAATGGGATTGCATTTCTCTTTTGGCTCTCGGCTTGGCTGTTGTTTGTGTACAGGAATGCTATCAATTTTTGTACATTGATTTTGCATCCTGAAACTTGAAGTTGTTTATCAGCTGAAGGATCTTTTGGGCTGAGGCTAACTTTTCAGAACCAGCCAGATCTAACCATCCCCAACAATAATAGGGATTTAACAGAGCATGACAAAAAAAAAAAAAAAAAAAACCCCAAACGTGCCTTTAGGGTGTGGAAGAAGGTACATTTAGAACAGAGGAAGACTCACTTCTCTCCTCAGAACTATGAATGGGAATGAAATCTTCAGATACTGTTTTATTTTTATTTTAGAAAACAAAGGGTTTTCTAGATATAGAATCATGTTGTCTACAAACAGAGATAGTTTGACTTCCTCTCTTCCTATTTGGATTACCTTTATTTCTTTCTCTTGCCTGATGGCTCTGGCTAGGACTTCCAATTACATTGAATAGGAGTGGTGAGAGAGGGCATCCTTGTCTTGTGCTGGTTTTCAAGGGGAATGTGTCCAGCTTTTGCCCATTCAGTATAATGTTGTCTGTGAGTTGGTCATAGATGGCTCTTATTACTTTGAGGTATGTTCCTTCATTACCTAGTTTATTTAGTAGAAAACAGATAATTTGTATAGAATCAAGTTTTGAAAGCAAATGGGGTTATCTGGTGATCCACTGGCTAATCAGAAGTCTAATTAGGTATGGCTCATCTTTCATTACACATTGTATTAATGAAAGTGTCAATTTGCTGTGGCTTGTTATTACCTATGAACAGTGGGTTCTTCCCAAGATTTCCAGATCGTTCCTGCAGGAAAGGCAACAACGGCTACACAGAGTGAGAGCACTTTCTACACATTTGGCTCAATTTCATAATCCCACAAAGGGAGTGGCAGTTGCGTTTCTGCTGTAACTTGTCTCTAATTGTCTCTGCAGCCACAAGCTGCATGCCATGCCAGCTCATCCATCCCTCTTTGGGCTTTTCAAGCTATCTCTCTCACTCAGTGGAGGTAACCATGGCCATAACACAATGTGGGGCACTTCTCAAGCTGGCATTCAAGTCAAGTATTGAGTTCTAATTCAGACACACCCCTGTCGTCCCCTACAGTGCCTCTGTCAGTCCAGTTCTCTGCGTGACTCTTCCTTTTCCTCATGCATGGCTGGGGGCAAACAAAAAAATTATGCCTACTGCAATCATCTAAAATGAAATGTTTCAGCCTTCTGTACCTACATTTTATTAATAAGTATTCATTCTTACTGGGCCTTGTCAAGAGCTCTTGCTGGGAGAACAATTAGTTTAGTATATAATCACTTTTGATGACTTCCTGGATTTCACACGAATTCAATTTTAATGGAAAGCATAACCTTTTATATTGGGATGTATCAGAAAGCAAATAGTTTACCACCTGCCAACCATCTGATCTCACTTCATAATCTTTATGTTAAAGGAGATCATTTTATAAGGTGGGAAAAGCATCCATGAAACATAAGATGTCTATCAGGTTCCCAGACTCATTTCCTCATTGAGCAAAGTGGTCTCTACCCTATTAGCTCAGATTAGGTGGCCATATCTGCAGATCACAAAGGACAATGGGGGTAGGGTAGGCAGTTGGGGAGAAACAAAGAAAGAAACTACCATTTCCCAGCACCCAAGTAGTGTTAGATGCTAGATTGGATTCTTTGAATGCACATGTCGTCTCATTTAATCCTCCACATAAGTCTGTATAATAAGGGATACCATTCCCTTTTACAGATAAGAAATCTGAATCCTAAAGAGGTTTAAGAACTTGGCCAAAATCACATATGTGTGTGGAATTGAGGCTGAGCCTATTTAGGGGGAAGAAAGTCTTGCGGTTTTTCTACTACACCCTTTTGATTTTAAGCCATTTTTACTGTTCCATGTGGATATTCCCCAAAGGTAGAAAAGTTTTCCTGGATGAACTTTCAGTCAGAATATTTCCTAGCATCTGGGAAGAACCCCAGAGGACTATATCTAGAACACTAGTGTTAAACAACCTTACCTTCCCTCAATCCAATTTTTGTAACATATCATTAAACTGTCACTGTTGCTACAAACACCCATCTAGAAGCACCTCTAAAATGAATAAAAACAATGATTTGTAACAAGAGAAGTGTTCTGGCAAGTAAAAGGGCAGGTCATAGGTTTTCCTCTTCCCAAGACATAACCATAATAACAACAGTAAAAATACCTTATTAAAAAGTTAAAAGAACTACCTACAACCAACATTATTATATAAACTTTAAAAATGGCAGCTGAGCCAAGGAATGAAGAAGATAATTCCAGTGCAGCTTAGCAGAATAAGTGCTGAGTGAAAGAAAGAAATCAACAGACGTGAGTACTATCACTAACAGTCCCCAAGTGAGCCCCCAACGAGTCAGCAATGTGGGGGACGGCATAGAAATGCTCTCAACACATGTGCCTATCACCACGGCAACTCCAAGGAATGGGAGGAATTCCTAGCACTTCACACTCTCCACTTGGGCATCCCCAGGCTGAGAGAAGAAAGAAGGAAGTCAAAGTGGCCAGAACCACCCAGATCTAACCATCCCCAATAATAATAGGGATTTAACAGAGCATGAAAAAAAACCCCAAAATCATGTTTCAGGGTGTGGAAGTGGGTACACTGAGAACAGAGGAAAACTCACTTCTCCCCTCAGAACTGTGAATGAGAAATGAAGTCTTCTGATACTGTTTTATTTTTATTCTTCTACTGGTAGGATTAGAAATGGCTATGAGGGAAAGACAGGTGAGTAGAAATGGCAATGTGAAACAACCAGGATGATGTAAGTAAGGGCCACACTGACTTGGAGGACTTATCTAAAGTAAGATGATATCTCTGCCCTGTCTCCCCACCACAAGAATAGAAAACAGCTCCAGCCAAGGGCAACGAGTCCTGATTTGTTGTTAAATACCAAGTTTGTTTGTCAAATGTCTTGTTTTGACAAGACATTTGACAAAGTCTCAGAAGAAAGAGAAGTTCCAGGTCCTTCTAAGGTCACATATTGCCCCAGAAGAACTCCCCAAAATCTCTCCCACTGCTATTTTTTTAAATAATTAGAACTCAATATGCACACCTCGAAGCAGCTCAGAAAATGTAGACAAAGAAGTCACTGATAGAGTAAGAAAAGAGTCAAGGAGAATCAGTCCACATTATTAGAACAAATGGAAACTCTGCGTAGAGTTGCATGGAAGATGAAGAGTAAGAGTGTGGCATTAAGAGAATATACTACAGCCAAATGAGAAAGCAAGACAGAAGATAGAGGGAAATGCCAAAAATTGTTTAAAAAACAAAACTAACTTGGAAGAAAATTCTCCAACAGTACTGCATGCAATCATCTTTCTATAGGTTTCTACAGAAAATGAAATCAGTAAAATAAGACCACAAACAAAAGATTTTTTTAAATTGGATGAGAGGAAAATTGAGATTGCAAAGATAAGGAAACAAGCTAAGGACCAAAACAACCCATCATGGAACAAGGAGTATAATAGACACAGCTGAAAACAATTACAAATATAAGGAAGACTTAATCACAGTGAACACAGAGTGAAAAAAAGATAAACAGCCCAGAATAATAAGAAAAAAAGATAATAGGTGCAAAGAACAGAAGAAAAAACTGGCCCAACATAAGGCATATTATTATTCCAGAAATAGAAAATGCAATAAATAGGACAGAAAAAGTATTAAAAGTTATAGTAGAAGAGATTCTCCTTGAAATAAAAAAAATTACATACTGAAAGGACACAAAATGTTCCAGGAGAAATTAATAATTGTGAGAGAATTATTGAAATAATAAGTTATTGAACTCTGAGGCTAAAAAAAATTTATTCAGGTATTTAGTAGAGAAAAAAGCAAGTCATGAGAATGAAAAATAGACGCTGACTTCACAATCTTCACAGCAAAATTTAATGACAGAAGTCAATGACCAATGTCTACAAAGTTATGAGTCCAAGAAACCCTGACCCAAGACTACCTTGAAACAAGGTGTTCTACAAGTGTAGAGGAAAAAAGAAGTTATTTTGACCATGAAACAGTTAAAGAATTATAACATCTGAGGGCCTTTATTGAAATAAACTGCCTCGATTTTTTGGAATCTCTTAGAATGAGCCTATGAAATATTTTTATGAAATAGTAACATCATTGATAACACCAATAATAAACTGTTAAGTTCAGAAACACAATTTATCAACCTAGATTTTAGTTTCTCAGAATGACTTCCAAGAAATGTGTTTTGAAGGTCGTCATAGTCTTCCATTATGTCAGCATCTGAATTAGTGATTTAGCTCAAACGCCCTTCGGTTCCCCTAATAATTTGAAGGAAGACTTTGCCAGTGAATGCATCTATTTCCTTGCAGAGAAATAGTATTTCAGCTCTACTACCTCTTGTTACAAATCTCATATGTTTACTCCCTGCTGCATGAAATCGTGCCTTTTTTTTAGTGATCCTGGAATTGGCTCTTCCGACTTCTTAGGAAATTTTGGTGAACGAATTCATATTAAGATTTTCCATATCGTTTGAGATTTTACAACCTCCACTCTTATCCTGTCTCAGACTTACAAAGGATGCTTCATGAGTTTTCTCACTCCTTGTCCTGAGACCCCAGTTCCCCCTTATTCATTTTAATTTTCCTTCTCTGAGTATGTTTTTTGCAATACCTTATATCGTTGAACACATTTAGCTGTTAAATAAAGGAAAACCTCCCACAGGGCCCATTAGTATTTCATTGGTGGCTCCAGAGTGGGAAATGAGAAAAAACAAAAATAAAACATTACCAACCATGAGCTGTCAAATGATATCTCAACTTCATAATCACCTTCCATTAGTGAAGAAAATACGGACAATGTGACCACCACTGAAATGGGAGTAAAGAAAAGCACCAACAGCAGCAAGTCACTGTACCCCGAATCCGGTGGGTAGAAGCTTGCAATAGAGTCTGATAACTGGGTTGGAACTCCTTGGGTATGGGGGGATGAGTGGAGAGAAATGAATAAGTGAATGGATGAAGCACTGGGGTTATTAAAGGATTAGCAAAGCCAATGCCCAATCAGAGCAACCTTAAAAAGTAAAAAAGGAGGATTTATAATCTGATCATGAGATGGTTCCAAATTTGACCGCTCAGTGAAACAGGATAAGGTATGACGCCATCATCAATATATATGACTCTAACTCTTAATATGCTGTGGATCCTCCCAACTCCGATATTTTCTTCTGAGTCTTTGATTCTGTAACCCTCCCTGTTCCTCGAAAACGGGGTGTCTGAGAAAATGTTCTGCCAGGAGCTTCAGCTGTCTCCCTTAGCCATGTTCATCATTCAGCCAGTTGCTAGCAGTCATCATCATTTAAAAGACCTCAAGCTGCTCTCTGCTGGGCATTGGTTCCCACCAAGAAGCAGGAGGATGAGAGCTGTATCTGAGAGAGTGGACTATTTTTGTTGTCAGTCTTTCTGAAGTCTGACACAATGTTCCTTACAGTCACTCTTCTTCTGGACCTGAACTTTCTGAACTTCATAAGGCAGTCAATCTTCCAAAATTATCGTTACCTGTTTCCTATGCTGCTCTGAGCAAGAAGAGTTGACTTTGTTCTTTGCATGTACCTCTAGCATCTCAGCTTCGCCTGTTGACCCTGTCTCCTATTATTATTTGATTCTAGAAGCTTCATTATGACTTTTCCTAATTGATATAACCAGGCAGGTTACAAATGGAGGCCTGTAGCCCTCTACTGTCTTCTTTGGCATCTTATGAATGTCACCATTTTCACAGACTTTTTCTTCCTAAGTTCATTTCCTACTGAGTCTGCCAACACTGATGAACCAAAGGAGGTATAAAAAGTGTTCTCATATGATGTTTACTAAGTTTTCTAAGTAACAGCAGCAAGTTGCATACTGCATTTGGAACCAAAAGACCTAGATCCTAGTACTGTTTGCCACTGCTAAGTAGTTGTATCACCTTAGGTATACAGGTAGAGCCTGAGTATAACCAAATAGTCTTCAGCTTTCATATCTGTTGAATGCAGACAAGAGTACTGAAGCCATGCTCTCATGGGACAGTGAAGAAGTAAAGCAAGACAATGAATGCAGAGTGCTTCAGTATCCGAAAATTCCTCAGGAAATAAAACATTTATGTTGTGGTAGCAGACTGAAGAACAACTTGTTAGTAACTCTATTCTCCCCCTTTCTGCCTTTAGACTCTTTTATATTAAAGAAAGGAAGTTGGGAGGGAAATAGGTAGAGGGCAAGGCCTTGTGACTTTACTTTGAGTAACAAGAATTTTATTCATTTAACGTTAATTGAGCACCTATTGTGTCTTAATCTGTTTGGGCTGCTATAACAAACTACCACAGACTGGGTGGCTTATAAACAGCAGAAATTTATTTCTCATAGTTATGGAGGCTGGAATGCCATAAATCAAAGCATCAGCAGATTTGGTGTCTGGAGACAGAACCCATTTCCTAGTTCATAGATGGCTGTCTTCTTGCTATGTCCTTACATGGTAGAAGAGGTGAGGAAGATCTCTGGGGTCTCTCCTATAAGGGCACTAATTTCATTCATAAGGGCCCTTCCTTCATGACCTCATCATCTCTCAAAGGCCCCACCACCAAATATCATCAAATTAGGGGTTAGGGTTTCAACAAATAAATTTTGGTGGGACATAAACATTTAGTCTATAGTATATTGTGTATGTATTTCTATGTGCAGTAGATTCATATCTGATTTTTACTTTGATCCTCTCAAAAAATGGAATATTTAATGAGAGATGCAGATGAGAAAACAGTTAAGTATAACAGAGTATGATAAGCATCATGATCAAAATATGAATAGGATATTACTGGAAGCACAGACCTAACCTGAAAGGTAGACTGAAAGAAGGCTTCTTAGAGGGGTTAACCCTGAGGCAAGTCTTCTTTACCAGCAACAACCCCAGTGTACATCTACTTTCCCAGTGTAATTATTAATACAGCCCCCTATGACTATCAAGAATGTCATGGTTTGAATGGTAATATGGTCTTGGGTATATACTTTTCCTTGTCCTCTACAGAGAGAAGATGGGGTAGTGTGATAATTCTAGAACTCTTTTGATAGTTATGGATTTTATTTATGAAATGAAATAAAGTTCTATTGACTACCTATTCTGTTGATCCTATAAAAAGTACCTACAATAGGACCAGATAATACATGCATCCTCCACTCTTTCATTCCCACAGCAGGCATCATTAATTGATTGTGGCAGTCCCTTACTGAGCCAACTCGAACACAACCTCACCATTTTTCTCAACATACTGCTCTAGGCAGCCACTACCAATTGTATCAAGGTGAAATCTCTTTGTCCTCCCAACCTTACAGTGTAAATAAAGCATGGCTCCTTCTCACCTAGCTGGGAAGATCAAGTTGCAATATATATAATTCTAAAGTAAATCTGCCTGTGATAAGTAGTGCAAACAATAGATATGATAGGAGTTCTTATTAGAAAATTTTCATTTTCCAAGCCTCCCATAGAATAATAGCTTTATTTCCCTTAAGAAAAACACAAGAACTTGCCAATTGGATACATCGTCTAGTGTTTCATAGTATCTTTTTTTAGAATTTGAGATTGAAAAATGTCACCTTAGTGATGACAGAATAATTGAGTTTAAAGATTTGACTAGTCAATAAGAATATTCGGAAGACATGTGCAAAGAGCACTGAAGATTTGCAAAAAGACACAAAAGAAGTAAAATAAAAAGAAAAATGACAATAAGCTCATGCATTTTTACCTTCAACCTTCTGGTCCCCCATTAGCTGACAGACACGCAACATCTGAGCTGACTGAAGGCTGATGTCAGCCTCTCATTCCTGGCTTTGACCAGGTGTCGTCTTGCAGTACACAAAAAAGCGTGAGTCTACACAGCAGCCCTGCAAAGGAATCTATAGCACAGTTGCAGAATGAAAAGAAGAATGTAATTGACCCTCTTTTATAAAAGGATTATAAGTTTATCTACAAAATTATTTTACCCCTGACCTGTCATATCTGCGTTGCTCATTTAGATTGCATCTAATGTAGCAACATGGGATAGTTTACTGTGTTGGGGCTCAGAATATGATACACAAAAATATGGCACCTTGACATACTGAGAAAGTCTCTCTGACCTTCTCCTGCCCTCCTGTCTCCCACCCCTCTTTCTTCCCCAAAATGAGCCATAGAAACCAGAATTCCTCTTCCACAAGATGGGTAATAGAAATTAGAAGACCTCTTCCCCAAAGCAACCCATACATAAAACCTAGAAGGGTCATTCTCTACCTTCTGCCTTGAAGAACCTTATTCCAGAGAGATCCTGCCTCATGGCGGGGAGGCTGGGGGAGGGGGTAAAATGCTACAGAGAAAGGCCAAGAAGAATCTGAAGAGACAGGTCTTGCTGTGTTTCCCTCTTCAGTCTGTTACCATTAGATCATGTCCCTTTGTCCAATCACATGTTTCCATGGCTCCCCATTCTTCACTGAACCTGAGCATAAACATAGACAGTCTTCCCTGGGTCTTTGAGTGTTCATTGCTGAAGGGTCCCATGTCATATAAAACTTAGAGTAAATAAATTTGTTATGCTCTTCTTTTGTCAACATGCCTTTTGTTATAGGAGTGTTGGCTGTGATGGATGAGGGAAAGTATCACACCTTTCTCCCCCTACAGCGGTCAAGAAGCACACATCAAGGCTTTGAGACTCTCTTTCAGACTTGTGGCTTATACAAAATAGCTCTCTCAAGTGTGAAGTGATAAGTATGGAAAAGGTGTCAGCATTTGTTAATTGCCTTACCCAAGTATTCTACCCTACACACACACACACACACACACACACACACACACAGCAGCTGCCTCTGGGGGACCTTCTGGGAATTATGTGTCCACAAATTTTCAAACAGAACTGCCAGAGCCTCTATCCTTTCCTTGGAAAGTTCAGCACCCACACTGCTCCTCTCCTCAGTGTCCCTTGCAAATGTTTCTGAGGGTTGTTACAGAGTTTAACCTGTCCCATGGTAATCTCATTTTATGATCAAGTTTCCAGCTTCTACTGAGTCCTCAATCTCCACTTTGCCGCTTCCCCTGTAACTGGAGTTCTTCCTGCACATCATTAGCCCTTTGGGAATTCACTCTTATTCTTCCCACAAAGCACAGTGTCTGTGTAACCAAACATTACTTGGGGTTCAAAGCAACAGGATGGGGACCACAATAATTTAAGAAACCCTCTTAATGTTGGAAAGTAAGATGTTTTTGCTCTGAAGTGCATTCTTCTCTCTCACAGTCTCTTGTTGGCTGTGTTCCCTGGTTAGGCACTGGCTCCCTGCCAGCTTAGGGGCCTCTAGTTAGTTCTCTGTAGCATCCTCTCACCTGTCTCTCTTCTTCTAGCTCCCTTGCCTCTCACATACCCAATCACTTCCTAGGCAGTCCTTAGAAATTCAGAATGTCCTTCAATGTATCAGGTTTATTATGCAGAAGAACCCTGCTGTTTCCTATCTACCATCCTCACTTTTGAGATGGTGCCCTGGGAGAAAGGGAGCTCAATTTTTACCCTCAAAGAGAGCATCAAGATAGAGTCCTAATTCTCCACCTCCTTTGATGTAAAATAAAATCCTCCTTAGCCTGCAAAAGTGGCTACATTCAATTTTCTGCATTTTAAAATGGTAATTTTTCTTCCTGTTGTGCTAAAAGAAAAACAGAGAGAAATTTGTTTCACTATTCATATAACATACTTCCATTCTCTACACATTGTGATTCAGGGAATTATCAGAAAGAGAAGCATTAAAAAAATTCTACAGTTTAATGGAGCAGTACTACACATACCTGAAAATAGCTGCATGTTTCTTATGCTGCAAATATGCATTTCTGAGTAGGAATTTTTTTAACCTCTTTATCAATGTTACTGTTTTTCTCTGTTCTCTTGCAATTTAAAAAAAAACTGAGTCTCAATTATACCAGTATCTAAAGAAAACAGAGTATGAAAAATTGGCACACAGAGCTGTAATTTGGAACCGGGTGTTGTCCTTAGATTGCTGTAGGTGTGTTGGGGGAGGTGTGTTTGGCTTTGCATCATGATCTGAAGCTAGAGCAAGAAAAGGATAAAATTAGGACATGTTTCTTCCTCTGTAAAATGGAGGATTTCCAGATTCCACCACCTAATCTGTATCCCACCCCTTTCCTGTTTCACCATCAGCCCCGTCTTCATCCTTACTCCCCAAGCCCAGCAAAACAGAATAAGCCCTGTGTAGAATTTCCAGAAACATTGCAGCCTACTTCTGGGGAATAGTCTTAACAAATCTAACTGAGAGAGGCCTAACAATACAGGTGAAAACAGACAGGGTTCTAGTTGACTTGAACTGTAGTGTCAGGTCACTGGGAATAGGGACAATATTTTGAAGACTTTTTGAAACTCAGGATTTCTGACTTGTGGTGTGTCACTATGGGAACAATGAAGAATAGAATCGACTCGGGGCTCAAGGACTGTTTTTTTCCTGTCTTCTCTACTCATTAGACAAGTAATAGATCTTAGCTAGCCTGTACCCACTTGCTACTTGCCAAGTTCTGTGCTGTTTTGCTTGTATTATATCATCCATCCTTTATAATGAACCCATGAGATAGCTACTGTTAGGTACTATTATTATCTCTATTAGCTTGAAGACAATTGCATACATATCCAAGTGACTTTGAAACACTCTAAACCTAAATAGTAGTTTTGGATGGAGGGAGTTGTCCAGGGAAAATTCACCAAGGGAAGCCTGAAGTGGGAAGGAAGACATGGAGAAGAATTATCATTTAGTGAGTACCTACTTCATCTCAGGCAACTGTTAAATGTTTTCTCCCTTTATTCTACAAGATCCCAAATGGTTATTATTATCAACATTTTATAGGTGGAGAAACTGCCGAGGTCTTAACCATGTTGGCTGTGAAAACTAGTTTGTATGTCCAACTCAAATGTCCATCAGTGATAGACTGGATTAAGAAAATGAGGCACATATACACCATGGAACACTATGAAGCCATAAAAAAGGATGAGTTCATGTCCTTTGTAGGGACATGGATGAAACTAGAAACCATCATTCTCAGCAAACTATCGCAGGAACAAAAAACCAAACACCACATGTTCTCACTTATAGGTGGGAATTGAACAATGAGAACACTTGGAAACAGAAGGGGAACATCAGACACTGGGGCCTGTCATGGGGTGGGTGGAGGGGGGAAGGATAGCATTAGGAGATATACCTAATGTAAATGATGAGTTAATGGGTGCAGCACACCAACATGGCCCATGTATACACATGTAACAAACCTGCACATTATGCACATGTACCCTAGAACTTAAAGTATAATAAAAAAAAAAAAGAAAGAAAACTAGTTTGTGGGTTTGAATCAAAGTCTGTCTGATTCCATTGTACCAAACGTCTGGAAATTGAGCTGAAGAGCAGCCATAATTCAACATCTAGTGTTCCCAGGTCCTATTTTAGACAAGACCCAATATTTGCCTGCTGAAAAGTCTAATTTTAGAACTACTTCTAGATATACATACTTGGTTTAAACTATACAGATCTAAACTGATAAATATCCCAGTCAGGGCCTTATACACATAATACCTTGATTCCAATTTCCTGGACCACCAGCGAGCTGGCTGAGTCTATTCTGCTTCTCTGACTCCTGCCTCTATTGGAATAAATGGAACATCATAAAAACTCAGTGATGGGACCTCACTCTTCTCAACCATCCTCATAAGATAATAGCATAAAGTTACAGAGGTGGGATCAGAGCTAAGGGATCAGAAAGTCTGCACAAAGATGACAGCAGAGCCTTGCCATCTGAAGTCCTATCCCTGATTTCTACTCCCAGATGACCCTTTCTGTGGGGTTGTCCTGGTTCTCCTCTCCCTTTGGACTTACCAGTCATCATTAACTCCTAAGTCAACATTTAGACACCAGCTTGTAAGGTACCAAAACTGCTTTCCCAGGTGGTGTTATAAATAGCTGTGGGAGAAACAACCAGCTTTTTTTCTTTTTCACTACATGGTTGAAAAAAAAGCATAGCTCTGAGATTTGGGGGAAGGGATGTCTGTGTATATGTGCATATATGTATACAATTGTATGCATATCTATGTGTATGCATGCCTGTGGATATGTATCTTGGTCCCTTGAATTTCTGCTCTGTTTTGAACAGATCTCAGGATTCACTTAGCAGATGGTCTGCCAAGAGCCTGATAGAGCCTAACTTCCCACATTAAATGTTTATGGAGCTGCTGATCAGGGGTGGGGGCAGGGGTAAGATGGACAACTCACAAACCCCAGAAAATAATCAAGCCCTTTTTACTTGAAATATCAAATATTTTTTTGTAGTGCTTTATAGTTTACAAAATGTTTTCACATTCACCAACACATTTTCTCAATAACCTTTTGATGTATGCATTTATTTCAATTTTATACATAAGACAAATGAGGCTCAGGGTGGAGAAAAGATGGCTCAAGCTCATATAGTTCCTATGTATAAAAGAGAGGGCCTCTCACCTAACAAACTGTCTCACTTAAAGTTTTACCATCCCACCACATTGCTTACTACTGTCTTTCCAAGGGGCACAATGAGACTAATGAAAGGGACGTACAGTTATCCTCAGTAGGACTCTTCCCCTTCCAAAGCTTTCAATACATACTTCTAAAAAATAGGAATAAGATGGCATTCTTCACATGCAGAAACATTTTTTCCTTTGCTCTCAAACCAATTTTTTAATACAAAGGACACCTATAATAGAATAAATTTATAGAAGCAGAACAGTACAAAATATAACAGGCCCATTTGCCAAAGGTTTTAGGAATGCATTTCTCCCCAGTCAGGATACAGCAGGAAGTTAAATGTTTGTGGATGAAAAACTCTTAAGACAACACTTCTACCAATGCATGAAACTTTACACTGATGCTTACATGCATGTGAGTGGTGAGGATTAGATAACAAACTGTGGATGTGTAGTGTGTTTTATTAGTCTCAATGAATGCTAATGAAGCCTAATGAAGTAATAAACTGAGACAGAGCATCTGGTGAGAAAGACCTGGTGGATATGGTCCTCGGAGGGTAGTGGAGAAGGAGTCAAGTGTAGAGAAAGGGCTGAGAAAAGAATTGGACTTCACTCCTTCCGTCAGTTCTTTCTCTGTATCATTAGATGTAGGGAGGCAGGTGTTCCCACTGTGTCATTAAGCCATGTCCAGGATACAGCTGTATTAGTGCCCATGAAAACATGTGCTCTCTCCAAGGAATAATGAGCAAGTAATTGCCGTTTTGAGGACTTCAACACATTTTTAAGGAAGGTATATGAGATAACACAGAGGATCACGTGGTAAAATCAGACTAACATGAATCAGAGGTCTTACTCAGTATCAGTCAAGCTTAACTAATGATATCAAAGATGTACATAATCATGAAGCACAGGCAAAGCAAGGAAAGGCCTGGTACCTTCAATGCTGCCCTCAAAGTCTTTTCTTGCCACATCAGGCTAACACTCAAGGCTCAGATTTACCTATGAGTCTCTAAGCAATGTGCACAATTTACATCACTTATAGAACAAGTCATCTATGCTTAGATAGTGACAAGCTTACCTACCACTTTCCAGGGAGCCAAGATCCATAAATCTGTGGATCCAGGTTTATGATGAGAATTCTAGAATCCTGCTAAAAGCTTTCTATTGACAAGGACTGAGCTTATTTTCCAAGAAGTCCACACTTAGCATATTAACCAGGATATTTGACTGGGTCTCTTGTCTTCTTTCTTTTCTGGAGCATTGCACCAATAAAGAGAAAGATTGGGTGCAAGCCTCCTCCTGCTAATTCTTCCCTTCCTGGCATATGACTGCATGTAAGATGTCTGTGAATGGCACTTTTAGTTGACTTTGACTTAGTTCTGGTGATTTGGAACCCTAAAGCATTTCCCAGTTTCTCTCCAGATTTTAGCCAGTGTTAGAGTTGGAGGTGGAAGATTAGCTTGGAGAACGGATGATTCATTATTTCGATGGTTCTTTTCACTCAGTAACCATTTTTATTTGTGTAATACTTTCTCTCTACAAAGAGTTTCCAATAGAATTATACAAACTAATGCAAAACAATCCCAGAATCAGGTAAGGTAGATATGATATGAATGGGGAAACAGGATCAGTTTCAGCTAACAAGCAGTGAAACTAGAATTCAAGCCCAGGTCTGTTTGGTCCCCAAGGTCCATGATCTGTTCACTGCATGATATTACATGTGCTTTAAAGAGTAGACAGGTTTTGACCAGGGTAGAGTGAAAAGTATGTTTCCATGTTTCTTAAACTGAATTTCTTAAACTCAGAGTTGTTTTCCCCAAGCTCTGCTTGCACAAAACTTTTCTAACTTGTTATGAACATAGTAAATGCTAAGTGTGCTATGACGGAAGACTGCTCTGGCATCATAAATCACTTTTTTAAGAACACCCACGTGGACAAAAGATGGATGGGCTCTCCCCACAGCCCTCATCTGCTTCCTTCCTGACAGGTATGATGTTAGTAAGGGGAGTTTGATGCACTTTCCTTCTCAGGCCTCTCATTTCTTCCTCCTCAATAGGAGGTTGATGATTGGCTTCTGAAAAATAGATGAGAAAAGGGAAAGTAAAAGGGATGAATGAAAAATTGTCATAATTTAGTCTATACATTCAAAATATAGGATGCTGTGCTGATACCAAACAGGGACAAAACCATAAATTGCATTATCTGTGCTGTCTTCCTGGTCTAGTGTCAGGCCTGCCTTGTCCCAATCCAAGTACAACTGCTTCACCCCACAGCAGGGCCCTTTTGGTTCCCCAGTTGCCAGCTTGTCCTAGGGCCAAACCAGTTCTGAACTGGGAGATTATCTAGAGCTCTCACCCATTATCTATGAGAGCTCTTACCCATCATTCCATTACCCAACTTTGTTACCTGGGTTTTAAAGCAGCTCTGGCCATGAACTCTGTTATAGAACTCATCTTTTCCTTTTTTAATATATATGTAATTTCAACTTTTATTTTAGATTCAGGAAGTACATGTGCAGGTTCGTTACATGGGTATACTGTGGGATGCTGAGGTTTGAGGTACGATTGTTCACATCACCCAGGTAGTGAACATACTACCCAACAGTTTTTCAACCCTTGCCCCCCTCTTTCCCTTCCTGCTTTAGTGGTCCCCAGTATCTATTGTTGCCATCTTTATGTCTATGAGTACCCAGTGTTTACCTCCCACTTGTAAGTCAGAACCTGAAGTATTTGGTTTTCCATTTCTGCACTAATTTGCTTAGAATGATGGCCTCCAGTTATATCCATGTTGCTGCAAAGAACATGATCTCATTCTTTTTTATGGCTGTGTAGTACTTCATGATGTATATGTACCATATTTTCTTTATTCAATCCACCATAAATGGGCACCTAGGTTGATTCCCTGATGTTTTTATTATGATAGTACTGCAATGAACATATAAATGCATGTGTCTTTTTGGTAGAACAATCTATTTTCCTTTGGGTATACACCCAGTAATAGGACTTCTGGGTTGAATGGCAGTTCTATTTTTAGTTTTTTGAGAAATCTCCAGTGGCTTTCCACAAGGGCTAAGCAAATTTGCATTCCCACCAATAGTGTATGAGCATCCCCTTTTCTCTATAACCTCATCAATTATTTTTTGACCTTTAATAATAGCCATTCTGACTGTTGTGAGGTGGTGTCTCATTTGATTTGCATCTCTCTGATGCAAATGTTGAGCACGTTTTCATATGTTTGTTGGCCGCTTACACATCTTATTTTCAGAACTCATCTTTTCTAAATGAAGTGGCAACCTCATGCCCTGATCTGTGTAACTGGCCTTCTCCTCCTTAGCCTGCCTAGGATTCCAATCTCTGTAAATTTTTCAACTACCTTATTATTTCCATGTAGAAAGGAACTAGAGCTGTGGTCCTATATTCACAATGTCTAGACACATAAAATCTTATGAAAGACTTCCCTAAAATTACAATCACCTTGGTAAGATCACAACAGTCATCTGTTTTCACACTGTGTTATGCCTACCTGTTAGGATATCTCCATTATTTCTGGGTGAAACCCACCACTCAGACCACCCAGTATTATTATATTTGTGTTTGTTGCCATATTATTTGGACACAACATTATATATTCAAGCTGCACCTTTTCTAGCTTCCAGAATTAGTTCTGTTCCCCAAACTTCTAGAGTATCTCAGTAAACAGATAATCACAGCTGTGGTCCCATTTCAGTCAAACTTACTTCACTGTCCTCAGCCTGACAGTGTAAAATCACCCAGCATAGAAAAGCATCCTTTGCCATTAAAGAAGTCTTTGCCAATCTTCAGGGAGCTGAGAAATCTTACTTCATGAATTTCATATTCTCTTCTCCTCTTAAAAGATTTATTTGAATTAATTTTCAAATTAAATTATATGTAACTGCCTCTGAAAAAAATCTCATGACACCCCTGAATATAACTGAAGTCATCTGTAGGTATCACCAAACTGAAGTTGGGACTGTCTTCATGAGGTCAATTTTAAGTCAGGGTCAAAATGCTGTGTAGATAAGAAAGTCTGAGTAACCTTTCCCTTCCCAGATCCCAATCAGCAGATCCAAGTCATATCATATCCCCAAGTACATTCTGACTTCTTTATAAACCAGAAGGAGAAGAGAAAAATCAGCATGTCATCAAGTCAAGAGTTTTGAGGGGGTGAGAGCGAAGAACAGGAATCATTGATAATGTCTCTTGGCAGCAATTCAAAGTCACATCAGAGAACACAGAAAGTAATGATGGCTTTCTGGACACCTGATTCACTCTCTTCAAACTTCTCAGGCTAATAATTCAGAAAGGGGTAATAAACGTTCAAATTTAGCAAGAAGCTCTTCTTAATCTTCAATAGATAATTCAGTAACTATTTCAATAATAGAAAATTTGTTAAATAATATACAATATTGGAGAGTGTACAGTTTGCCAGTTACTTGCATACATCACTGATGGGGTGCATTTTGGTACTTTCGGCCTGAAAAACAAAAACTTTTGTAGTAGGAACCAAAAGCTTTAAAAAGTTAAAAGCCCTAAACCCAGTATTTTAACTAAAAAGTCTATCTAAAAGAACAATCAGAGGTGCAAAGATTATTCATGAGACAATACTTATAATAAAGAAAAAATTGAAATCAATAAAAATGGTTAAATAAAGGCACACCCAAATAATGGAATGTATTTAGCCACTAAAATTATATTCTAAACTTATTTAATGATGTGGAAAAGTTTTCAAGATATAATGTTAGTGGGAAAAGCCTGACAGAAATGCTGTATATATGTGTTTATAAAGTCTCATTTTGTATACAAGATTATATCTGTAAAGTTAGATTACAAACCATGTGAAATTCTGTTTTAGACTTTTCTGTAGTTTCTGAATATAGAGAATGACTCAGACACTGGCCAAGCCAAGGGATATACTCCCTGCTCTGTGACTGTCTTATCTTTTCAGCAGAGAACTCTTTCCACATGAACTGTCCTCTAAAGTGCTTATGCTACCTCCACAAGAGCTCAGATTGCACCGTGCAACTAGCTGTTAAGAAATGAAGGCAAATCTAATTATCCTGGTAATTTCTCAGCCACTAGCACAGTGTGAAAATGGGGCCTTCCTGTTCATACCCTTGGCCTCACATCTGGCCACAGTATACAATGCTTAGTTTTGAAAAAAGAAAGGCTGAAGAATTTCATGGATGCAAAAGAGATTTGTTGTTAATCTGGGTTCCAGGCACATGGTAGGTATTTAATAAATGTGTGATAAACAAAAGAATTAATGACTGAACCAAGCAATCAATCAGTTTATCAGAATGATGGCATTCCTGCCATTCACCTAAGTTATTTGGGGCATCAAGATAAACCTCTTATTTGCCAGTCTTATCTTCTGTATCCTGTTGAGGTCTCCAGTGACCGGGGGGAATTCACTAGCTATCAAGAACCCCAGGATTCTTACTTCATTTAAATTCTGTCCTCTCACTTCTATCTCAGTGCATTCAAGAAAGGGACTCAATGTACAGGCTGCCCTATTCAGTAGCTACTTGCCCCACCACTACTTGCAGATGTTAAAAATATACCTCAAGAGGATATGTGAGTTCTCCCTTCCTCTTGTAAGGAACTATGAATGGTCCAGATGCTGCCAAGGGGACTTCAGGCAGCATGATGAACCACAGGGGTGTTAGGAAAATTCTGAAGACAAAATTTTAACACTAGAGAGTCCAGCTACAAAGTTCTTGCTCTGAAGACCAGGAGTGAGGTCAAGTTCATTGTTACAGAACCGAGATATCAGAGTATGAAGATCCAGAACTAAAGAAAATTAAGAACAAGCAAATGGTAAGGGGTAAGGGTGGGGAGAAATTCCACAGTGATGGCTACAACCACTGGGAATTGTTTTGTTGTTAAAATATTTTGTTGAACTGGCCTGGCATTAAGGGAAAGGAGCAGAGTAGACAATTAACATGTAGGGGCTTGGAGAGGGTTGATCAGGTATTAATAACCCTCTGCTTTGGGCCCTGTAATGGTTAATATTGAGTGTCAACTTAATTGGATTGAAGGATGCCAAGTATTGTTCCTGGGTGTGTCTGTGAGAGTTTGCCCAAGGAGATTAACATTTGAGTCAGTGGAGTGGGAGAGGCAGACCCACCCTCAATCTGGGTGGGCACCATCTAATCAGCTGCCAACATGGCTAGAATAAAGCAGGCAGAAAGAGTTGGAAAGAGCAGACTTGCTAAGTCTTCCCGCCTTCATCTTTCTCCCATGCTGGATGCTTTCTGCCCTCCAACATCAGACTCCAAGTTCTTCAGCTTTTGGACTCTGGGACTTAAACACCAGTGGTTTGCCAGGGGTCCTCAGGCCTTTGACCACAGACGGAAGGCTGCAGTGTCAGCTTCCCTACTTTTGAGATTTTGGGACTTGGACTGACCCACAACTGGCTTCCTTCCTCCTTAACTTGCAGATGGCCTACTGTGGGACTTTACCTTGTGACCATGTGAGTCAATTCTCCTTAATAAACTCCCTTTCATATATACATCTATCCTATTAGTTCTGTCCGTCTAGAGAACCCTGACTAATACAGGCCTGAATACAGTGTGTAGCTTCACAGAATTAGGAACCCCACCATCACTCATTCTCACTGGCCTGGCAAAGCCTGGAATTTAGGAGCAAGCTGTGGGAAAGTATGCAGATAGAAGCCCCAGGACAAATCTTTTTTTTTGAGATGGAGTCTCGCTCTGTCTCCACGCTGGAGTGCAGTGGCGCAATCTCGGCTCACTGCAAGCTCCGCCTCCCGAGTTCACGCCATTCTCCTGCCTCAGCCTCCTGAGTAGCTGGGACTACAGGTGCCCGCCACCATGCCTGGCTAATTTTTTGTATTTTTAGTAGAGACGGGGTTTCACCGTGTTAGCCAGGATGGTCTCGATCTCCTGAACTCGTGATCTGCCTGCCTAGGCCTCCCAAAGTGCTGGGATTTCAGGCGTGAGCCACCGCGCCCGGCCGACAAATCTTAAGTTTATCCTTTATATCCATGTAGTCTATAAGCACAGTGTCTTGCTGTCAGTCAACAATCAGGAGAGGCTTGCTGGGGATTGTGTATTTGTTTGTTTGTAATATTATAATGTTAACTACAACCCCAGAGTACAACAACCCAACAATCTAAATGTTTCTTTTTTTTTTTTGACACAGAGTCTCACTCTGTTGCCTAAGCTGGAGTGCAGTGGTGCAATTTTGTGGTGAAGAGTTGCCCACTACAACCTCTGCCTCCCAGGTTCAAACCATGGTCCTGCCTCAGCCTCCCAAGTAATTGGGATTACAGGCATAGGCCACCATGCCCTGTTAATTTTTGTATTTTTAGTAGAGATGGGGTTCCACCATGTTGGCCAGGCTGGTCTCCAACTCCTGAGCTCAAGTGATCCGCCTGCCTCAGCCTCCCAAAGTGCTGGGATTACAGATGTAAGCCACCGTGCCTGGCCTTTTTATTTTTATTTTTTTTAGAAACTGGATCTTGCGTTGTCACCTAGGCTATATGCAGTGGCATCATCATAGTTCACTGTAGCCTGTCTCAGCCTCCCAATATCTCATCTTTGAATCAGCACATGTCTGGTAGGGATACACTTAACTCAGAAATGCAGAATTAATAGGACCTCAGTCAGCCATGGAGACACAATACTCTCTCTCCCCAAGCGTCTCATGAGCCACATAGCCTCTCTCTGTCTCTTTCTCTCTTTCTCTCCCCTCTCCCAACCCCCAACTACCTCTATATCTCCCTTCTCTCTCCCTCCCTTCCTCCCAAGTTTCTCTCTAGGATTTACTGTCTTCCTCTTGCTTGACTAACCAATTTTCCTGCATCAAGAGTGTCCACATCCTTGTAACTCTGAAGTGCCATCACGTCCTCTTCAGGAACTCTCCAATTCTGCTCCTTTTGCTAAGTTGGTTTTCTCTCTTTCTCTCTCTCTTTCTCTCCCTGCCTCTCTCTCCCTCTCCCTTCCTCTCTCTCTCTCCCTCTCTCTTCTGACATCCACAGCAAGGATCTGTTGTGTCCAGCTCATCTTTGGGGCCTAGGGGCCTAGGCCATGGCATAACTCTCTGGCAAGTCTATGGATTAACTGAAAACGGAGCAAACTAATACCTACCTTGTAGGATGATTGTAAGGATGAAACAAGGTGAAAATGTGTAAATGTAACCTACCATATGTTGGGCATATAGATACTTGAAAAGTTGCTTTCTCTTCCTTTTTTCTCTTTTTATAGTCGGCCAAACTAAATTTTAAGTCTTCAGATCTTCCTCAGGAAATGATTTCTAGTCCCTAGCTATTTAGTGATGTTTATAATTGCTGATCTCATCCACATTCCTTTCTAGGTGAAATTGCCCATCTAAAATCCCATGAAATCCCCCTCCCCATTTTCATAGCTGTTCAGACCATGACAAGTACCTGTTCCTTTTACGGATGAGGAAATTTAGGCACAGTGAGGTTAAGGGAATTTTCCCACACAATCAGTAAGTGGCAGAGTTCAGATCCAACTAAGCCAAAATCTTTGCTATTTTAATTGTACCATGAATAACTGTCTTGAACAATGATCAAATATAATATTACAGAGAAAGAGAAGTTTTATTTATCCTGGCACAAAAGAAACAAACTAAAATAATCAAAATCTCTCGTTAATAGATGTTTAAAATTTGTACCCAGGGATTGCTTCTAACAGGATGCTGCAGATCAAGGGAAATCCTCCAGGAGAGAGTTGTTGCCTGAGGCCCATGAAGAAAAAGCACAAAATCTTGTGATAACAGAAATAGGTCCAAACTGATGGTTTGAGTTGTTAAGTCGTATCTAGTTTACCTTCTGGAATTCCAACATTTAACAAGCGTGTTTTGGGGGGCAGAGTGGTTTAGAGAAGGGATGAAACAACTTACAAGAAAATTGTTTGACTTAAAAGGTTCAAATGTACTATTCTACTTATATTTTGAAGGCAAATAAAGCTTGATTGAGCAACTAAGTTAATCATTGACTCGCACTTGTTCCATTAAATTGATATGCCATAGGTAAGTATAAACTTAGTTTCTTCCTTTTTCAAGGTTGTTTCCTAACTGGGCAGAACAATGACACATTAGTTTTGGATTATCTGTAATCTAGTCTAATTTTTGTAATTATTATTATTTGAGATTATCTTAATCTAGTAATCTGATCATTGTGGCTGGAGAAAGCCAGTCACTCTAGCACAACAGATCTTTAGATATGTCCAGAAAAAGAATGCTCAATGTGCCGGTGGCCCTTGAATTGCACCCATTGGTCCAAGTTCCTGGAGCTTAAGCAAAGACGATGCAAATAATATCCACTGACCATTTGCCACTGCTGCCTGAGGGACCAGACTGTGATGAAATAGTTGAATTTACAAGACAAACGCTTCATGAAGACAAGAAATGACTCATCATTGAGAAGAAAAGGAGGCGGATGTAGCATATGCCTAACATATCTAAGTGACTCTCTGGAGAAGGGCTCATTGCCAGCAAATAGGACATTACCCTCACCAAGCGATTTAAGAGAAAATCCTAGGCATTCCATTATTTTCACCAGTTAAAGTTTATCCAATATTTGACTGAATGAATAAGAAGCTATGCATTGTTATCACATTGAAGCAGTGATGTAAATGACAAGAAAGCTGTAAACAGATATAAGAAAAGAATGAAGTTTGTGGCTGGGTAGGGGATGAACATTCATTGAGATCTGGGCATTACATACCACATGAAATGCTTTACAATATAAGGTTTTTCAACCTCAGCACTATTGACATTTGAGGCCAGATAATTTTTTGCTGTGGGGAGCTGTGCTGTACACTGCAGGATGCATTGCAAGATCCTTGGCCTGAATTCAATAGCTGTCAGTAGCACTGTTCCCCAATTGAAACAACCAAAAATATCTCAAGACGTTGCTAAATGTTCCTTGAGTAGGAAAATCTCCATTGGTTGAAACTGTGACTTTACAATAATAGTAATAGCTAATATTACTAATTAACCATTAACTATTAAACCATTAACCTTTATTAAAGGTTTACTAGATATCAAGTGTTGATTTAAACCCTTTCTTTTATGTTTACCTTTTTTATGATCAACTCTATCACTCATAAAAAATAGTGCAGAAAACAAAATGTATAGCTGAATGATTTATCAAGCAGGGAACATCTATGTAACCACCAACCAGGTTAGGGGGATAAAAGGACATTGCCATCTTTAGAAGATGCCATCTTTAGAAGCTTCCATTGTACCCCCCACCAAATCTCAAAAAACTATCTGCCCCACAAGGTAACCACTGTCCTAAACTTCCTTGTCTTACTTTATAGTTTAACTACTTAAACATGTATCTCTAAAGCTATAGTTTACCTGTCATGCAACCATTCTCAGGCATTTACAGGTGGATGTGTTCCATTAAAACAAAAAGTAAACCAAAAAGAAAACGACTTGCAGTTTAGGAAACAGAGGAGACAACACAAGAATCCTCAAGGTGATGAGGAGGATCATTTCAGAATAGCAGCTGGCACCTAACACAAAAGGACCTGGCACCCACCAGCCCACAATGGAGCAAGTAAGACAGACTCAGGATAGATTTCTTCAAGGAAATGTCATCAGTATAAGTGCCTGATGCATCTGAATGTACCAAGAGGTG
This sequence comes from Homo sapiens, assembly GCF_000001405.40. Lineage (NCBI taxonomy): Eukaryota > Metazoa > Chordata > Mammalia > Primates > Hominidae > Homo > Homo sapiens. The sequence goes on from NC_000003.12 coordinate 132,085,014, forward strand.
ATTTGGACAGCTGGTGGAACTTTTTGGCTTCACTTAGAGAAAGGTGCATAGGAAATTAAACAAATAAAGGATAATTTCACTATGAAAAACAAAAAACAGTGCAAAAAAGTTATCCTAGTACACTATGTGACTCAATCATAAATTATTTACATTGTCATAGTGTAAACACTGAGTATTGCTCTAACTGATATAACTATATTCATGTACAGGATAAGGGAAAGTGTGGTGATAAGATGGAGAGGTATATGAAAATTGAGGGAATTAAATCCTCCCAAGTTATGAAGCCAATAGATAATGCCTAACAGAAGCATGTTTTTTAGAGATATGATGGTAAATATCTAAAGTATTCACTTAGAAAGATGAAAATGGTTGCCTCTTAGGAGGAAGAAATGGGAGTAAAATGAAGCCTACTGTTTTTCATATCAAACTTTGTAACACTACTTGACTCTTAAGTCATGTGCATGCAAATTTTTAACGAAAATGAATACTTTAAAATTCACTTTACAAGAGGTAATTATGATACAGGTAAATCCATAAGTAGTGCTTGAAGCAAAATAAATAGAAAATAGATAGTGTATGCATAAACCCAGGTTTAACATACTTTTCCTGAATGATCATTTGCAAATAGGTAGTGCAGTTGTTTGGGGTTCTCCAGAAATAAAAATGAAATGGCAGTAAACTCACCTCATCCCATTCAAGCAAAAATGTTAAGGGATGTGTCTGTAAGATACAAGGCACCACAGTGCAACTGGCCCTTTGTATCCACAAGGCCAACCAACCACAGATCAGAAATTCTCAATAAATAAAAAAAAACAACAATAAAAATAATACACAATTTTAAAAATACAGTATGATAATCATTTACATAGCATTTACCTTGCATCAGGTATTGTAAGTAATCAAGATACTGAAAGCATATGGGAGGATGTGCATAGGCCATATGCAAATACAGCATCATTTTATACAAGGGACTTGAACATCTGTAGATTTTGGTACCCTGGAGGTCCTGGAACCAATCTCCTATGCATACCGAGGGATGACTTTACAGGGAAATTTAAATGCTCAGGAAGAAAGCTCTTCTTCCCAGTGAAATAAGTATTCACTCACCTTCTATATTTTAACATAATTCTTGCTTTCTAGATCACGCATTATAAGAAGAGTTATCAAGAATATCCTACTATTTCAATTATTTCAGCCTGGAGAATACCTGGCACCTCAAACTTCCAAATCCTTTGTCTTCCCAAGGAGGTATCTGAGGTGCTCAGTGACCACTGAAAGTTTCCTAGGGAGGACACAGATGCTGTGGAGTGAGCACAGACATGTGTGTCATGTCTATTTTGGTTCAAATCCCAGTTCTATTCTTAATAGGTGTCTCATCTTGGTGAAATTATTTAATCTCTCTTAATCACAGCTTTGACATCTAAAAATACAAGGATAATAATGCCTACATTGCTCGATGTTTCTCAAAATCAAATAGATAGTTTTTATAAAGTTCTTGGCACATAGATGGTTCTCTAGCAAATTTAGCTAATGTTATAATTATTGTCATCATTATAATTATAATTATTATTATTACTACCGCTGTTGCCAATGGTATTACATCCAACCCACTGCACAGTGCCTTTATAAAACAGCTCCTGCTTCATTTTTCTCCGCTTCTATGGATTCCAATCTTGCTGAGGCCACTGGGTCTTGGCTGATTTTTGGTTTTGGTTTTTGATTTTTTTGAGACAGGGTCTTACTCTGTCACCCATGCCAGGGTGCAGTGGCACAATCAAGACTCATTGCAGCCTTGACTGCCTGGGCTAAAGCAATCCTCCCACCTCAGCCTCCTAAGTAGACACATGAGCACACACCACCATCCTCAGCTAAGTTTTTTATTTTTTATTTTTGGTAGAGGCAGGGGTCTCACTATGTTGCCCCTCTCACTTTGAGAGACTGAGGCTGGAGGATCGCTTGAGGCTGGTCTCAAACTCCTTGAAAGAAGATGATTTCAGGGAGAATTAAGGGACTTTATATATAGGCCAAGAATTTTGGAGCCCCAAATGTAAGGAGTGGGATTTTCTACAAGTTGGGCAGAGAATCACAATCCTTATATTAAAAAACAACAGCAACAACAACAACAAAACACAATCAGCTGTGTGACAGGGAGAGACATGAGGAAAGGCAGAGGGGTAATATTGGGAACTAGAAGATATTCTGCCAGAGGACCTTCAAAGGGGCTAATTCTTTTTGTTTCTTCCTTGGTCATTGCAAAAAGTCAAGTTTAGCCTACAGCTTAACATTTTCCCTTCAACTCTTCAGTAAAGTGTAACACCTACACACAACCATGAATGGTGTATGTTAAGGATAGTGTCATTTGGGGTGGGCATCAAAGGGTTTCTTACTTGTTCCACATCCACTCTTCTGATGGACCCATAGTGAGGGAGCCTTGTCCCATCAAACAGACTGTGCCATGGAATTCTACAAGTGACCAACAGCAAAGCAAGAGAGGAGCCACACCAATTTGTCATGATGCAGTGTTGAATGGGCAGTGAGTATGTGGTGGAATCCACACTTGAAAACAGTGCACATTCAACAGTGCACATAACCACAAGCAGCTCTGTGGGTTGCTGGCAAATGGGATGCTGCTGTTATGGCACCATCTCTATTATAAATGTGTTCTTAGCTAACCTTTAAAAAACAATTTCCCTTAGAAATATAAGTAATTCCTATTTGAACCTCTAAAATGCATTTCGTTCTAGCTAGAGCTATGTATCAACCTTCAGCCAGCTTGAAATATTGTGAGCAACTTTAGACCTCTTAATCAAGGAAACAATTTGAATACACTAAGGGAGCAGTTAAGGGAGAGGCCAAGAGAATGAAAATAAGGGTCACAGTGATGTGCTGGGAAAGATTAAAAACAACCAACCTTAAACTGTTGGAAATAACCCTCAGAATTTTTAGAAAATATATAAAGCTGTTTAGAATGGAATACCTAGCCATTCCCTTTCCTATGAAGTTTTCAGTTTTCCACTTGTAATTACAGCAATCTATAAATTATATTATATATTTCTCTGTCTTAGGTCCCATGAATAAAGACAATCCCCAATCCATATTACATTTTCCAAGCATCTATGAGATGTTGAGAGTCCTTGAAAAAAATATTGAATGATAATCTTTTAGCTTATTCAAATGATGAGCTGCCTAGGCTAGGACATATCCTGAAAACACTATATTATTAAAAAAAAATGTTTTAAATCTAGTTCTGAGAAATAACCTAAATCAAATTTGTAGTCAATAGGCTCATGAGAACAGTCTCCTTGAATGATGAAATTTGAGAACTTGTGTGTGGGAGTAAGGCAAACTCAGTTTCACTACTGGATTTTGGATTTCTATCCTCCTGCAGAAAACTTTCAGTGGCACTATGATTGCCCATTTTGAACCATCCTTCGTCACCTGCCAGAAACAGCCTTGGAGACTGTGGATGGGCTTGATGCCTGGCTTATTCATTCATGATGGTGACTTAGTACCAGGATGTCTCTCCCACAGAGTTTTAATAAGAAAAAATGTTGTCCCTCCACTTACAGATAACAAAAATAGATAAGCAAATTGAGCACAGTGTTTGGTGTGTTGTAGACATGCAAGGGCGAACAGAATGGAAGGAAGGAAGGAAGGAAGGAAGGAAGGAAGGAAGGAAGGAAGGAAGGAAGGAAGGAAGGAAGGGGAAGGGAAGGGAAGGGAAGGGAAGGGAAGCGGGAGGGAAGGGAAGGGGGAGGGAGGGAGGGGGGGTTGATCACTATACTTTTCTAGTCCATTTATTTCATTTTCCCATTCTTTCAAAAGACTTTCTTACACCTTCTCTCCTCAAACCTCCAAAATCCCTCCCACATTCTTACTCTCATGTTTTTTGTGGAGAAATTTTAAATAATACAAAAGAAGTTTGGTGGACTCTACTGTCTCTTCCACCCACCTACTATCTTCAAGGCCACATATTCCATTTTTGCACCTGCTAACACATGAATTAACCATACTCCTATCTAAAGACAGTCTTTTTGTACTTGATCATCTCCTCTGGTCCACTGAAGGATATCTTTCTAGCAATTGTTTCTTCTCTCACCCTCTACTAAATCATCCCCATCAGCTTACAAACATGTTGTTTCTCCCATCTAAGAAAAAAACAAAAAAACAAAAAACAAAAACCTCTCTAGAAGTTTTCACTTTTCCTCTAGTTGCCATTCCATTTCTTTCATTTCTTTGCAGCAAACCCCTTTTAAGGTATTACATATATACACACAATCTACAATTTTTTCTCCCATTCTCACAGAAATACAACCCAACTTAGCTTTCTCCACCACTGTTCCAATACTGCTCTTAAGAAGATCTACTGTGTATAGCTAAATCAAATTTTTCAGTTTCCAGTCCACACCTTCCTTGGTCAATCAGCAGATCTTAACACAGTTCCTCACTCCCTCCTTAATTGCACTGTCTTCACTTGGGTTTCAGGACACCACATTCTGCTGGCTTTTCTCCTACCTCTGTGAGAGTGTCTTCTTAGTGTACCTTCTTCTGGTTTCTCCTTTTTTTGACCTCATAATGTTGAGGTGCCCAGAGCTGAGTCCTTGGTCATGTCTTCTTTATTTACAGACATTATTCAGACAAAATTTTTAGTCTTACAGATTTAAATATCATATATACAATGGCTACTTTCAAATGTATATCTTCAGCCCAAATTTTCTCCTAAATTTCAGACTTCAACAACCAGCCACCTATTTATCCCCACCTGAGTATCCAACAGGCATCTTAAATTCAGCATGTCCAAAGTTAAACTGATTTTCCTTCTTAAACCTTCTGCATCCAAGACTTAACCATCTCAGTTGATCTCTCCATCTTTTCTATCATTCAAGCCAAACACTCAGGAGTTCTCCATGATTTTTCTCTTTCTCTCCTATCACAAAATCTATAAGCAAACAATGCTGGCTTTACCTGAAAAACATACCTGGAATGTTTTTCCATTTCTTTGTCTGAGCTCTGAACAAAGAACCATAACTGGGCTCCCTGCTTCCTCCCTTGCCCTCTTACAGTGTATGCTCAAATGGCACACAGGATTTTTCTTTGTAAATGTAAATCAAATCTTACTATCCCTAGCTCAAAATCCTCCAATGATTTTCTACCTTAATCAGAATAAAAGCCCAAATTCCTTTACAATTATTTAGAAAGTAATTACCAACTTGCTACTTCTCTTATCTCATTTCCTACTTTCCACTCTTCATTTGCTCCACTCCATTCTCTCTAACCTGTTTGTCATTCCTCAAGCACACTAGACATACTCCCACCTCAGGACCTTTGCACCAGCTGTTCTCTCTACCTAGACTATTCTTCCTCCAGACACCCACACAGCAGACTCTCATTGCCTTCAAGCCTTTGCTCAAATATCACCTTTTCAATAAATCCTGCCCTGACCACCATATTTAAAACTGCATTTTCCCCTTCCTTCACCCACAGGGATCCCACTCTGAATTCTTTTCCATAGTACTTATCACATTCTATCACATTGTGTAACTTATCTGTCATGTATGTTGGTTAGTGTCTGTCTCCTAATAGGATCCATGAAGACAGGAATCTTTCACTATTTGATTCACTGACATGTCTTAATTGCCTAGAAGAATACTGGAACATAGTAGATATTTAATAAATATATGCAGAAGGAAGGGAAGGAAAGACAGGAGGAAGAGAGAGGAGGAAGGAAAGACAGGAGGAAGAGAGAGGAGGGAGGAAACTGGAGAGTGGGGCATTTTGGCTATTCTCAGACCATTCAGTTGCCCTCCTTTGGCCTCAGTGTTCATCTTGAAATGAAAGTGTTGAAGCAGATAAACTCAAAGATCCCTTCCACTTCTACATGCAATGATTCTATAAACTCCAAAGGGGTTCATAGAAGATGTAAAGAGCATTTGGACCTCATTATGATGCAAAAACTCAGGACAAGTAGGAGGCCTGGTAGACTACTGCCAGCCTCTTTCCCTTTTATTCCCAGCCTGCCATGAGGCTTTCCTGGATGAGTCACTTCAGCCCTCCTCCAGATGACACTGATACTGGAAAAGCTGGAGCGTCTATCCCACGCCACCCCCTGAAGTACAGGCTACACAACCAAAGGCTTCTCCATGAGATCCCACAACATATGTCTCTGCCAAATTTAACTAGAACCTGTCACTTCATATCCTCTGGTTAGATTATGAAAGCCACCCTTCTGCCTTTGATCCTATTCTACTGTTCCCCTTTGGTTTGTGATATCATGACAAAGCCCTTGCTCTGCTCCATGGAATTGTCAAGACTGGCAGACCATAAGCTGCTCTGATAGCCTGCATTGGCAAAGGGCCCTACAAATCTCTCTGTTCTTGGGTACAGAGTCCCTGGTATAGAAGCTTATGCACCTGCTTTTCCCCATCAGGACAAATGCTATTTCCCAAGAGAAGGATAAATGCTGAACTGTAGGAAACATGGGATCTTAGCCCTGTGGGACACTTGCAGATGCAGAAAGATAATATCAACATCCGCTGACTGATTCCATTGCTGCTGCAGAGGCAAATGGAGAATTGGCAGGGAGGGCCCAAACCATAGAGAAGTCAGGAAAATATCGTATCATGGTGTGATGTGCAGATATGTCAGGGAGGTTTCTTAGCTGCCACCCAGGGAACAAAATCTTTCTGTAACAGTATGGCCAAAGCCTAGGTCTTGCTTCCTTTCTCAGACCTGAACCTCCACTGCTCTATCACAGACCAAGTTACAGAAGTCATTTGGTTTAGTGAGTCAAGACAAAGCATCAAAAACTAGGGGATATATATTCTTTAACCAAGAAAAAGGAAGCATTTTTTTCCTGAGAATAAGTGACTTATTTGCAAAAGACCCACCAAACAGACCCAGAAAATGACCTCGAAACATTCTTAAAGGCTTGTCAAGGTCAAAATTGATATGGACAATGAAGATGCAGCTAGTGCTTTTTATAACATCCTACCACTGACTCTTGTAAGAGAAGAACAAATCCTTTTTCATGAAATGTCTTCCACCTGCTTTTCTACCTAGAAAACTCCTACTCATCCTTGAGGACCGAAATAAAATTTCCTCTATGAACATTTTTCCAATCCTTCCCCACCTTAAATATATACACACGCATCAATATCAATGAATCGTTATCTTCTCTATAATGCCTCAATAGTTTGTTCATAATTTGGTTAGTCAGTCCACAAACATCTTGAAGAAATATACTAAAAATGTTTAGTTGTGATACTTTCTTATCTCATTAACTGGATATATATTACAAATTTTAATTTTATATCCTGATTATCTACAGTTATAGTAATAAGAGTGATAAAAACATATTTCCAGAGCCAGCAATAGCTAATACATATACACAGAGCTGTTTCTCTTGTTTCCTCAAAATTATAAAATTTCACTTTCTTTTATATGAGGACTTTTATTCTCTCTCACAAGAAATGACTGAAAAAAAAGCCAGACAGTGTAATGTAAGGTGACACAGATTTACAAATTTTTCCCCTTATTTTACCTGATGAAAATTGCTTTTCTGCTTAACAATGTTCAACTTTACCTTAAACAGAAGCTGCCCGCACTTAGGAATATAGATATCAGAGCTAGAGGTGACAGCCACATCAATGTTGAATTCTTACTCAAAGTCAGTTTTCAAGCTTGAAATCTTATCTTATGTCACTCCATTTTGAAGACGGGAGAGAAAAAAAATGCTGGAATGTTCAGTCCAGTGGGTTGGGGAATAATGAGATAGCTAGTCTCTGCAGCAAACTGAAGTGTATCCCTTTCAAGACAACAGACATTTGGTGGAGATCTGTCAATAGACCTTCATTAGACTCTGTGGATTCAGCCTATGCTTAAGTAGGTTTTCTCTAGTCTGGTCTTCACAGAAGGTAGAATAGTTGCTTCTCATGAAAGAGACTTCAAGGAGAGGGAAATTTGTATCATGAATGAGAACCAGAGGGCAGTAACGGAAATGGACAAAACCCAACTGGGGAGTGTTCCTCTAACCCAGGGATTGACAAACTTTTCTGTAAAGAGCCATATACTAAATATTTTTCAGTTTTGTAAGACATATATTCACTGTAGAAACTACTTAACCTGCCTTTATAGCACAAAAACAGCCAAAACAATATAAAAATAAATGGACCTGGCTGTGTTCCAATAAAACTTTGTTTATACAAACAGGCAGCCAGCCAAAATTTGCTGCCCCCTGTTCTGAGACAATATTTCCCAAAATGCTATATACATAACACCATGAGTACACGGGTATACTGATTGATTTTAGGTGGCTCACAAAGAGATATTTTAAATTTTAAGTTAAGTTTATGATTTAATATTTGCTGGAAATAAACACATAACTGTTTTATCAAACATGATTTCATGAATATTATTACTTAGTATAAGGATAAATTTATTTTTAAGTGAAAAAAGACATAATTTAAAGAAAATAAGTAAATAACAAGAGCATACTGACATTGCAAAAATCATTTAGGTAGTAAATGAATGGTCAAAGCTGGAAATACAGCTCTAGATGTACTTCCATCCTACCCACTGGCACATATGACCTCACTTCATCTACCACTGTTGTTATTATTATACTGGGCCAGTGGAGAGGTCACTAAGAGGTCACTTAAGATCTCTGGGCTTGATTTTCTGTCTGAAAATGGTCAATTCTCACAAATTGGTACACAAGCGTGAGATAGTTTGCTATCTTAGCCTTTCAACTATTATATGACCACACTCATAATTTTATTCAGAATAAATTTTTGATCCTTTTAAAGCTAAAGAAAAATAAGCCTCCTTTCTTGCAATTTTAAAAAATAATTCACTTTATTAAATCACAGAACATTCACTCAATGGAAAATTAGAAATAATTATGTTAATAGCTATTGAGGGGTCTGATGGGAATAGCTTTTTGTTTATATTTTTGGCCCCAAGTATGCCATTTATAAAAATCATGTTTCAGAACATGTTATGTCTTAAACCATGGAGAGTAATAAAAGGTCAAAATATGTAAAAGTTTTTTTTCTCTCACTTCTTTTTCTGGATATTTGAGCCTTTTGACAATTTATTCTCAAACTCTCTGTGGGTTTCTGGGTAGAATCTTAATTCTTAGGTGATATAAGTGCCTTCGTTCTAGAAAAGATGGAAGTTCAGCACAGGTATCAATTCCACTGTGTATTCTCAATGGCTTTTGTTACATAGATTTCTATAGTCAGTGTGGGACAAGGAATATGCAGAAATGTCTAGACTTAGGAACAAGACACAGCTGGATTCAAATTCCTACTTCATTGTTTGTCTTTTGTAGTCTTTCATAAATATTTCAGATAAACTGTGTAAAGTACCTACCTGGTTTCTTTTTCTTTTTTTTAATTATTATTTTTTGAGATGGAGTCTTGTTCTGTCATCCATGCTGGAGTGCAGTGGCACTATCTCAGCTCACTGCAACCTCCGCCTCCCAGGTTCAAGCTATTCTCCTGCCTCAGCCTCCTGAATAGCTGGGATTACAGGTGCCCACCATCATGACCAGCTAGTTTTTATTTTTATTTATTGATTTATTGATTTGAGATGGAGTCTCACTCTGTCACCCAGGCTGGAGTGCAGTGGCGCAATCTCGGCTCACTGCAACCTCCGCCTCCCAGGTTCAAGCAATTCTCCTGCCTCAGCCTCCTGAGTAGCTGGGACTACAGGCATGTGCCACCACACCCAGCTAATTTTTGTATTTTTAATAGAGATGGGGTTTCACCATATTGGCCAGGCTGGTCTTGAACTGCTGACCTCGTTATCTGCCTGCCTCAGCCTCTCAAAGTGCTGGGATTACAGGCGTGAGCCACCACACCATGCCTAGTTTTTATATTTTTAATAGAGATGGGGTTTCACCATGTTGGCCAGGCTGATCTTGAACTCCTGACCCCAAGTGACCTGTCTACCTGGTTTTTGACTAGGGTTTGCTACATATACAGAAAAAAAAAAAAAATCAGGCAATCTGTATTTTATCTGGCAGCCCTATCCTGACACAGTATACACTTGATATATATTTCAGAAGTTGTTATCTTTATTGGAAACACATGACATTTCTGTCTTTTCATAGGAAGGGGGAAAGGAGAGGTGATGGTAGTTTTGGGACAAATAAGAACATGTTTTGCAGTGAGCACTGTTCTAGTTCACTTTGTGCTGCTATAACAGAATACAACAGAACAGGTAATTTTAAATGAACAGAAATGTATTTGGCCATGGTTCTATAGACTGGGAAGTCCAAGACAGAGAGACCGCATCTGCTGAGGGCCTTTTTGCTGCATCATCCCATGGTGGAAGGCAGAAAGGCAAGAGAGCATAGGTGAGTGGACCAAATGTATGTTTTTACAGGGAACACACTCCTTCCACAACTAACCCACTCCTGTCATGACAGCATTAATCTATTGATGAAGGCAGACCCCTCATGACCTAATCACCTCTTAGAGGTCCCACCTCTCAACATTGTTGCATTGGGAATTAAGTTTCCGACACATGAACGTTTGGGGACATGTTCAAACCATAGCAAGAATTCAATTAACTTATGTTTTTCCTTAGAAACAGAAGCTCTGTTTTAGATTTAGAAAGAAAGAAAAGAAAGTCCAGTTCTGTGTTAAACAAAATGAATACCGAAAAAGAACAAATGAAATGAGAACAAAAATTATGCTTATTAGAAAAGAGGTCACTGGGCAGGTAATATATCTACCTTCCCTGATAGCAATTTTCTTAAAACTTTACATTGGGTCCACACTTGAATCCAGTTCTTTATAGCCCTCTGGGCTTATTTAAAATACAACAGATCTATTTTATTAAAAAAGAGATTAAAGTTGGAAGACATATGAAATATTCCACCCATATTTCCATAATGGAGAACAGTTCCCATGCCTTCCAGCTGACACACGTTTGCCCCTTGTAGAAACTGTGACCACAGGTTTCATGATTGCTTCTGTGAGACAGCATGTGCCACTGAGGTTCGTAAATCTACAGTTTTTCTTTTCCCCAATATGACTGAGTAAAAAGAAGTTAATGTTCTCTATCCCAAAGGACAAGGATTGAGAATCAATTGTGCTCTGCAATTGGCTTTCTAGGATGTGTTCTAGATTTTCTAGAATGTTTCTTCTCATAGACCTTCTGAAGATGAATGACTAACAGTGTCTACACTCAGTATGTCAATAAAAAATGAAAAGTGAGGGTAAAAGGCTACTCTAGAACCTACTTGGACTGTGAACCTGAAAAAAAAATGAGTTTTTGTCTTAATTCTTTTTTTTTTATTTTTTATAAAGACAGGGTCTTATTCCATCTCCCAGGTTGGAGTGCAGTGGTGTGATCTCAGCTCACTGTAACCTCTGCCTCCTGGGTTCAAGTGATTCTCCTGCCTCAACCTCCTGAGTAGCTGGAATTATAGGCACCTGCCACCACGCCTGGGTAACTTTTGCATTTTTAGTAGAGACGGTGTTGTTGGTCAGGCTAGTCTCAAACTCCTGACCTCAAGTGATCCACCTGCCTCAGCCTCCTAAAGTGTGGGGATTACAGACATGAGCCACAGCGCTGGGCCTTTTTTATTCAGATATGACATATATGACATGTGACCATTTCTAGGTACAGCATTTAAAAAGAAAAATAAAACATCTCTGCTTCCTGCAGTATAGCTAATAAATGTTCTAAAAAGCCCTTATAAAAGCCATAAAAAAGCACTCAAAATATAACTAGATCCTCAATGAATTACACAATCAATCTTTTCAAAGCATTGCTGAGCTTATAAGAAAGTAAGACATGTCACCACATAGGTCACGTAAGGTGGAGGTGGAGGGAGGGTGGGAAAGAGACAATGAGCTGTAGCCAGAATGATGAACAATAAGGAAGAGCAAAAGATAGCATTTTTATTCTAGGACAAATGTTGAAACCAGTATTAGAAAGGGGAGACTAAACCTAGAACAAGATGAGAAACTAAACCTAAGTCCTCTGCATTGGGCTTAGATTCTCAAACAAAGTAAAAGTGGTGCCAGACTAGTAGAACCACTGGCTCCTGGTAGAAACATACAAATCTTTTATGGTGACAGCAATTCCAATTTAGACTCTCAGTGTCTCACAGAATAAGATCAATTAAATACGAGCTCACAATATGAAATCACCAATATACAGGGAAACAAGCAACCATGAATAAAAGTAGCAGACAATAATACAACCACTATAGAGAAAAATTTGGAGTTTCCTCAAGAAAACTAAAAATAGAGCTACCATATCAACCAGCAATCCTACTGCTGGGTATATACCCAAAAGAAAGGAAATAAATATATCAAAGAGATACCTGCATTCCCATGTTTGTTGCAGCACTGTTCACAACAGCCAAGATTTGGAAGCAACCTAAGTGTCCATCAACAGATGAATGGATAGAGAAAATGTGGCACTTATATACAATGGAGTATTCTTCAGCCATAAAAAAGGAATGAGATCCTATCATCTGCAGCAACATGGATAAAACTAGAGATCATTATGTTAAGTGAAATAAGCCAGACAAAGAAAGACAACATCACATGTTCTCCCTTATTTGTGGGATCTAAAAATCAAAACAATTGGACATAGAGAGTAGAATGATGATTACCAGAGGCTGGGAAGGGTAGTGAGGGGTTGGGCGAGAAGATGGGCATGGTTAATGGGTACAAAAAAAATAGAAAGAATGAATAAGACCTACTATTTGATAGCACAACAGAGTGACTAAAGTCGACAATAACTTAATTGTATATATTAAAATAAAGAGTATAAGTGGATTGTTTGTAACACAAAGGATAAACGCTTGAAGGAATGGATACCTCATTCTTCATGATGTAATTATTACACATTGAATGCCATATCAAAGCATCTTATGTACCCCATAAATATATGTACATACTATCTAACCACAAAAATTAAAAATAAAAAATGTTAATGTAGATATATTTGTTTTACAGCTAAAATTTAAGGAAACCTTTAAACAACAACAAATAAAGATGATACACCTTTAAAAATGCATACTGTGTTATTGGATACACAATATAAAACAATATGAATGAAATGTTTAAAAAAATAAAAAATTACTAATGAGCAAATAAAAAGAACATATCAAAAAGACCTTGTAAAATAAAAAAAACAAATTGAAGTTTTAGAAATGAAAAATATAATAGCTAAAAAGAACTCACTAGAAATTTTAAAGATAAAATTATTTAACATAACTGAAGAAGTATTAGTGAACTAAATAATAAATGATGTTGGGAAAATTGGACGTCCATATGAAAAAAAAAACCTTGACCCATACCTTACATATCATACAAAAATTAACTCAAAATGGCTAATACACCTAAAGGTAAAACCTAAAATTATAAAACTTCTCAAAGAAAACATAAAAGAAAATTTTATGACATTGGGTTAGGCAAACATTTTCTAACTACAGCACCAAAAGCACAACTGATAACAGGAAAAGAATGGTTAATGAGACTTAATCAAAACGTGTAATTTCTGTTCTATGAAATACACTGTTAAGAGAATGAAAAGATAAGCCATACACTTAGAAAAGATATTTGCAACTTACACTTTTGACATAGAACTTGTAGCCCAAATAAAGAACTTTCACAACTCAATAATAATAACATAATCAACCCCCAAAAAGGGGACAAAAGAACAGGCACTTCACCAAAAAAGACACAGATATCAAATGAGTTATTAGTCATTAGAAATCATTACACAATACTACTCATCATTAGGAAAGTGAAAATTAAAATCACAATGAGATACCACTTCACACAAATAAAATGGATAAAATACAAAATAATGACATTACCAAGTGTGAGTGACAATGCAGGGCAATTGCAAATCTCATACATTGCTGAGAGAAATTCAATATGGTACAACCACTTTGGAAAACTGTTTAGTAGTCTCTTTCAAAAATAAGCATATGCCTATTATATGACCCAATAATCCCACTTCCAGGTATTTCCAAAGAAAAATGAAAACTTATGTTCGCAAAAAAACCCTAAACATTACTGTTTATACCGCTTCATTTATAATCACCAGAAACAACCCAAATGTCCTTCACTTGAAAAATAGATAAATAAAATATAGTACATCCACTGAATATAATTATAGCAAAAAAGGAAGAACTACTGACACAAAAACATGTATGAATTCCAAATGCATTATGCACCATTTATTTTAAAAATATGCTTTTTCCATTGAATTTGTTTTGCACGTTTATCAGAAATCAGTTGGCTGGACTTCTGTGCATGTTTCTGAACTCTCTATTGTTGTATTAGTCTATGTGACAATCCCTCCATGAAGTCCACACTGTTTTTTATTACTGTAGTTATATAGTAAATCTTAAAATCAGATTGAATTACTCTTCTGTTGTTATTCTTTTTCAAAATTGTTTTAGTTATTCTAGTTCCTTTGCCTTTTCACAACAATTTTAGAATAAGCTTGTTGATATCCACCAAAAATCCATTTTAATAGAAATGGAGTTAAATGAGATCTTAACAGAAATGGAATTAAATGAATAAATCATTGTGGGGAGAATTGACATCTTTTTAAGTTGAGTTCTCCAATTCATGAATATTGTATATCTCTCCATTTGTTTAGGTCTTTAACTGTTTTTTATTGAAGTTTTACTGCTTTCAATAGAAAGATCTCATAGATAAGCTATTAGATTTATACCTACATATTTTATTTTTGAGGGCTATTGTAAATGGTATGTTTTAAATTTTGATTTTTGGGGGAGGAGCCAAGCTGGCCGAATAGGAACAGCTCCAGTCTACAGCTCCCAGCGTAAGCGACGCAGAAGACGGGTGATTTTTGCTAAAGGAGGAAGTTCGAACCCATGGCAAAGAAGTTAAAAACCTTGAAAAAAAATTAGACGAATGGCTAACTAGAATAACCAAGGCAGAGAAGTCCTTAAAGGACCTGATGGAGCTGAAAACCATGGCACGAGAACTACGTGATGAATGCACAAGCCTCAGTAGCCAATTTGATCAACTGGAAGAAAGGGTATCAGTGATGGAAGATCAGATGAATGAAATGAAGCAAGAAGAGAAGTTTAGAGAAAAAAGAATATAAAGAAATGAACAAAGACTCCAAGAAATATGGGACTATGTGAAAAGACCAAATCTACGTCTGATTGGTGTACCTGAAAGTGACGGGGAGAATGGAACCAAGCTGGAAAACACTCTGCAGGATATTATCCAGGAGAACTTCCCCAATCTAGCAAGGCAGGCCAACATTCAGATTCAGGAAATACAGAGAATGCCACAAAGATACTCCTCGAGAAGAGCAACTCCAAGACACATAATTGTCAGATTCACCAAAGTTGAAATGAAGGAAAAAATGTTAAGGGCAGCCAGAGAGAAAGGTTGGGTTACCCACAAAAGGAAGCCCATCAGACTAACAGCTGATCTCTCAGCAGAAACTCTACAAGCCAGAAGACAGTGGGGGCCAATATTCAACATTCTTAAAGAAAAGAATTTTCAACCTAGAATTTCATATCCAGCCAAACTAAGCTTCATAAGTGAAGGAGAAATAAAATACTTTACAGACAAGCAAATGCTGAGAGATTTTGTCATCACCAGGCCTGCCCTACAACAGCTCCTGAAGGAAGCACTAAACATGGAAAGGAACAACCGGTACCAGCCACTGCAAAAACATGCCAAATTGTAAAGACCATCGAGGCTAGGAAGAAACTGCATCAACTAATGAGCAAAATAACCAGCTAGCATCATAATGACAGGATCAAATTCACACATAACAATATTAACCTTAACTATAAATGGGCTAAATGCTCCAATTAAAAGACCCAGTGGCAAACTGGATAAAGAGTCAAGACCCATCAGTGTGCTGTACTCAGGAAATCCATCTCATGTGCAGAGACACACATAGGCTCAAAATAAAGGGATGGAGGAAGATCTACCAAGCAAATGGAAAACAAAAAATGTCAGGGTTTGCAATGCTAGTCTCTGATGAAACAGACTTTAAACAGACAAAGATAAAAAAAGACAAGGGCATTACATAATGGTAAAGGGATCAATTCAACAAGAAGAGCTAACTATCCTAAATATATATGCACCCAATACAGGAGCACCCAGATTCATAAAGCAAGTCCTTAGAGACCTACAAAGAGACTTAGACTCCCACACAATAATAATGGGAGATTTTAACACCCCACTGTCAACATTAGACAGAACAACGAGACAGAAAGTTAACAAGGATATCCAGGAATGGAACTCAGCTCTGCACCAAGCGGACCTAAGAGATATCTACAGAACTCTCCACCCCAAATCAACAGAATATACATTATTTTCAGCACCACATCTCACCTATTCCAAAATTGACCACATAGTTGGAAGTAAAGCACTCCTAAGCAAATGTAAAAGAACAGAAATTATAACAAACTGTCTCTCAGACCGCAGTGCAATCAAACTAGACCTCAGGATTAAGAAACTCACTCCAAACCACTCAACTACATGGAAACTGAACAATCTGCTCCTGAATGACTACTGGGTACATAACGAAATGAAGGCAGAAATAAAGATGTTCCTTGAAACCAATGAGAACAAAGATACAACATACCAGAATCTCTGGGACACATTCAAAGCAGTGTGTAGAGGGAAGTTTATAGCACTAAATGCCCACAAGGGAAAGCAGGAAAGATCCAAAATTGAAACCCTAACATCACAATTAAAAGAACTAGAGAAGCAAGAGCAAACACATTCAAAAGCTAGCAGAAGGCAAGACATAACTAAAATCAGAGCAGAACTGAAGGAAACAGAGACACAAAAAACCCTTCAAAAAATCAATGAATACAGGAGCTGGTTTGTTGAAAAGATCAACAAAATTGATTGACCGCTAGCAAGACTAATAAAGAAGAAAAGAGAGAAGAATCAAATAGAAGCAATAAAAAATGATAAAGGGGATATCACCACCGATCCCACAGAAATACAAACTACCATCAGAGAATACTATAAACACCTCTATGCAAATAAACTAGAAAATCTAGAAGAAATGGATAAATTCCTAGACACATACACCCTCCCAAGACTAAACCAGGAAGAAGTTGAATCTCTGAATAGACCAATAACAGGCTCTGAAACTGAGGCAATAATTAATAGCTTACCAACCAAAAAAAGTCCAGGACCAGATGGATTCACAGCTGAATTCTACCAGAGGTACAAGGAGGAGCTGGTACCATTCCTTCTGAAACTATTCCAATCAACAGAAAAAGAGGGAATCCTCCCTAACTCATTTTATGAGGCCAGCATCATCCTGATACCAAAGCCTGGCAGAGAAACAACAAAAAAAAAGAGAATTTCAGACCAATATCCCTGATGAACATCGATGCAAAAATCCTCAATAAAATACTGGCAAACCAAATCCAGCAGCACATCAAAAAGCTTATCCACCATGATCAAGTGGTCTTCATCCCTGGGATGCAAGGCTGATTCAACATACACAAATCAATCAACGTAATCCAGCATAGAAACAGAGCCAACGACAAAAACCACATGATTATCTCAAGAGATGCAGAAAAGGCCTTTGACAAAATTCAACAACACTTCATGCTAAAAACTCTCAATAAACTAGGTATTGATGAGACATATCTCAAAATAATAAGAGCTATCTATGACAAACCCACAGCCAACATCATACTGAATGGGCAAAAACAGGAAGCATTCCCTTTGAAAACAGGCACGAGACAGGGATGCCCTCTCTCACCACTCCTATTCAACATAGTGTTGGAAGTTCTGGCCAGGGCAATCAGGCAGGAGAAGGAAATAAAGGGTATTCAATTAAGAAAAGAGGAAGTCAAATTGTCCCTGTTTGCAGATGACTGATTGTATATCTAGAAAACTGCATCGTCTCAGCCCAAAATCTCCTTAAGCTGATAAGCAACTTCAGCAAAGTCTCAGGATACAAAATCAATGTGCAAAAATCACAGGCATTCTTGTACACCAATAACAGACAGAGTGCCAAATCATGAGTGAACTCCCATTCACAACTGCTTCAAAGAGAATAAAATACCTAGGAATCTAACTTACAAGGGATGTGAAGGGCCTCTTCAAGGAGAACTACAAACCACTGCTCAATGAAATAAAAGAGGATACAAACAAATGGAAGAACACTCCATGCTCATGGGTAGGAAGAATCAATATCGTGAAAATGGCCACACTGCCCGAGGTAATTTATGGATTCAATGCCATCCCCATCAATCTACCAATGACTTTCTTCACAGAATTGGAAAAAACTACTTTAAAGTTCAAGTGGAACCAAAAAAGAGCCTGCATCGCCAAGTCAATCCTAAGCCAAAAGAACAAAGCTGGAGGCATCACGCTACCTGATTTCAAACTATACTACAAGGCTACAGTAACCAAAACAGCATGGTACTGGTACCAAAACAGAGATATAGACCAATGGAACAGAACAGATCCCTCAGAAATAATGCCACATATCTACAACTATCTGATCATTGACAAACCTGACAAAAAGAAGAAATGGGGAAAGGATTCCCTATTTAATAAATGGTGCTGGGAAAACTGGCTAGCCATATGTAGAAAGCTGAAACTGGATCCCTTCCTTACACCTTATACAAAAATTAATTCAAGATGGATTAAAGACTTAACTGTTAGACCTAAAACCATAAAAACCCTAGAAGTAAACCTAGGCAATACCATTCAGGACATAGGCATGGGCAAGGACTTCATGTCTAAAACACCAAAAGCAATGGCAACAAAAGCCAAAATTGACAAATGGGATCTAATTAAACTAAAGAGCTTCTGCACAGCAAAAGAAACTACCATCAGAGTGAACAGGCAACCTACAGAATGGGAGAAAATTTTTGCAATCTACTCATCTGACAAAGGGCAAATATCCAGAATCTACAATGAACTCAAACAAATTTACAAGAAAAAAGCAAAGGACCCCATCAAAAAGTGGGCGAAGGATATGAACAGACACTTCTCAAAAGAAGACATTTATGCAGCCAAAAGACACATGAAAAAATGCTCATCATCACTGGCCATCAGAGAAATGCAAATCAAAACCACAATGAGATACCATCTCACACCAGTTAGAATGGTGATCATTGAAAAGTTAAGAAACAACAGGTGCTGGAGAGGATATGGAGAAATAGGAACACTTTTACACTGTTGGTGGGACTGTAAACTAGTTCAACCATTGTGGAAGTCAGTGTGGTGATTCCTCAGGGATCTAGAACTAGAAATACCATTTGACCCAGCCATCCCATTACTGGGTATATACCCAAAGGAGTATAAATCATGCTGCTATAAAGACACATGCACACGTATGTTTATTGCGGCACTATTCACAATAGCAAAGACTTGGAACCCACCCAAATGTCCAACAGTGATAGACTGGATTAAGAAAATGTGGCACATATACACCATGGAATACTATGCAGCCATAAAAAATGATGAGTTCATGTCCTTTGTAGGGACATGGATGAAGCTGGAAACCATCATTCTCAGCAAACTATTGCAAGGACAAAAAACCAAACACCACATGTTCTCACTCATAGGTGGGAATTCAACAACGAGAACACATGGACACACGAAGGGGAACATCACACACCGGGGACTGTTGTGGAGTGGGGGGAGGGGGGAGGGATAGCATTAGGAGATATACCTAATGCTACATGACAAGTTAATGGGTGCAGCACAGCATCATGGCACATGTACACCTATGTAACAAACCCGCACGTTGTGCACATGTACCCTAAAATTAAAGTATAATAAAAAAAATTTTTCTATTTTCATTTGGGTTGTTTGTTGCTAGCATGTATAAATATGATTTATTTTTCTTTATAGTGACATTTTGCTAAACTCATTTGTAAGCTCTAGTAGTTTGTTAGTAGGCTCCTTGCCATCATCTATAACGACGATCTTGTCATCTGAAAATAAAAACAAACATCTTTTTTCTCCCTTCCTCTTATGCCGTTTCTTTTCTTTCCTTCTTGCACTGGGTTGGACTTTAAGCATTATGTTGACTATGAGAGTGACAGCTGACATCATTTCCTTTTTCCCCACATAAAGGGGAAAGCATTCAGTCTGTCAATATTAAGTATTATGTTAGGTTTTGTGAAGATGTTGTTTATCAGGTTGGGGAAGTTACTTTAAGTTTTAGTTTACTTAGATTTTTTATGAGTGGGTGTTGAATTTTGTCAAGTGCTATTTCTGCATCAGTTGATTTAATAATGTAGTTTTTATTCTTTATTGTGGTTTGTATTGATTGACTATGATTATTAAGTGTTAAACCAGCCTTACATTCCTGAAATAAATTCTACTTGGGCATATTATATTATTCTTTCCAAATATTGATAGATTCTATTTTTAGTATTTTGTTAAGGGTTTTTTTTTTCATCCACATTCAAAAAGAATATTGTTCTGTAGGTTTCCTTTCTTGTACTATCTTTGGTTTAGGTATCAGGATAGCTGCCTTCACCATATGAGTTGGGAAGTGTTGCTGTTTCTTCTATTTGATGAAAGAAAGTGCTCAGAATTGGTCTTATTTCTTCTTTTAATATTTGGTAAAAATCATCGCTGCAAGTGTCTGGGCCTGGAGATTTCTTTGTCAGGTTTTTATAAGACTATTAAAGATTATCTGTTTCATGTTTGCTTTGATAATTTGTAGATTTTGAGCAATTAGTCTATTTCATCTAAATGGTCAAATTTGTGTGCATAGAGTTGCTCATAGTATTCCCTTATTATTTATCCTCTGCAAGTTACATCCTGTGTTTCACTCTTGATATTGGTAATTTGTGCCTTCTCTCTCTTTTCTCTTTGTCAGTATTGCTAGAGGCAACTTTATTTATTCAATTTTATATCCATGTATAAAAATATAGTGTATATATAGAATATAGATACAGATATGTATAACAATAAACTGTACACTATAGTATATACTCTATTGTTAGCAATATAGAGTATCGTCTATTGTTTTTACTTTTTCAACTTCTGCTATTATCTTTATTATTTTTCTTTCCTACTTGCTTTGTCTTATTTTTGCTCTTTTGTTCTAGTTTGTTCAGGTGGAAACTTATTGATTTGAGATTTTTCTTCTTTTCTTTTTTTTTTATTTTTAAATTTGAGACAGGGTCTTACTCTGTCTGTCACCGAGGCTGGAGTGTAGTGACATGATCTTAGCTCACTACAGCCTCAACCTCCTGGGCTCAAGCAATCCTCCCACCTCAGCCTCCTGAGTAGCTGAGACTACAGGCAACACTGCCATGCCTGGTTAATTATTTTTTATTTTTTGTAGAGAGAGGGTTTTGCCATGTTCCTGAGGCTTTTCTCGAACTCCTGGGCTCAAGCCAT
This sequence comes from Homo sapiens, assembly GCF_000001405.40. Classification (NCBI taxonomy): domain Eukaryota; kingdom Metazoa; phylum Chordata; class Mammalia; order Primates; family Hominidae; genus Homo; species Homo sapiens. The sequence goes on from NC_000003.12 coordinate 132,106,394, forward strand.
GCTCCTTCCTCAGCCTCCCAAAGTGCTGGGATTACAGGTGTGAGCCACCACACCTGGCCTTCTGTTTCTACTATAGGCATTTATTTGTTGCTGTAAATTTTGCTGTAAGCACTAATTTAATTGTATCCCACAGATTTTGATATGTTGCATTTTCATCACTTTTAGTTCAATACATTTTTTTTATTTCCCTTGAAACTTTCTCATTAAACTTTAGATTATTTAAAAATGTGTTGCTTAGTTTCCAAATGTTTGGTGATTTTCCTGTTATCTCTTTGTTATTCACTTCTAGTATGATTTCATTAAGGTCATAAAACATATTTTATAAGATTTAAATTATTTTAAGTTTGTTATAGTTTGTTTTATGACCCAGTATGTACTCTATCTTGATGATTTTTCATGTGCCTTTGAAGAGAAGTATATTCTGCTACGGTTGTGGAATATACCATATATTCCACATGGATGGGTTGTGACTATGCTAATTAAATCTTGCTAATTATGGAATTGTTTATTTCATCGCTATCCTTACTAATTTTCAGTCTAGTCAGTTATAAATTACTGGGAGAGGGGTGTTAAAGTCCTCTAACTATAATTGTGTATTTCTCAATTTCTCTATTCATTCCTGTCAGCTTTTACATCAAGTATTTTGAAGTTTTGCTGTTTGATGTACACACATTGAAGATTGTTACATCTTATTGGTAAAGTGACCATTTTATCATTATATAATGATCATCGTTTTCCTAGTAATTTTCTTTATTATGATGTTTCCTAGGTGTTACATTAATATATCAATTCCAGCTTTATTTTAATTAGTATTTACATGTTATATCTTTTCCACCATTTTTCTTTTATTCTACCTATATCATTGTAAGTGAATTTCTTACAGACAATATATAGGTGGATGATGCTTTTATTCATTCTGATCATCTTTGTCTTTCAATTGCTATCTTTAGACTAAAGGTTGGACTTTTTTGTAAATGACTTCATAGTAAATATTTTCGGCTTTTCATGCCATATATAGTCTTTGTTTTATAGTCTTTGTTTTATAGTCTTTGTTTTGTTTAAACAACCCTGTACATGTAAAAACCAAAAAATGAGCAAACTAAGAATATAGGGAACTTCCTGAACTTCATAAGGAGCATCCATTAAAAACCTGTGGCTAACATGATTCTTACTGGTGAAAACCTTTCTCTTTAACTTCAAGATCAAAGCAAGGATGTTCATTCTCAACACTTTTATTCAATGTAGTAATGGAAGTTGTTGCCATTGGAATTTTAAAAACACACGTATTGGAAAGGAAGAAATAAAACTGTCCCTATTTGCAGATGATCTACATGTCTATGTAAAATTTCATGGAATCTCCAATGAAACAAATTATAGCAAGGACTCATATCTGAACGACTTCACATATTTGAGTTTTTCACGGTGAATTAAAGGAATTTCAAACACTTTCCTCTAATAATAATATCTACAATAGTAGTTTCCAACTCTCTTTACTATTTTTTCTGTATTTGCCTAATCCAAGAGCCCTTCCTCCTATCTCTTTCCTACTATGATTCGTATGACTGGGATAAGTGAACTTGTGTCATTAATCCAATAATAGATACCAAATATTCTTAGTCACCCATTCAGATATACCTTTCTAATTCCTACATATTAAAATATAATAAAAAATGACAATTATGTATTTCCTTAAGATTTTTATGCCTCATTTTTTATGACTAAACCATTCATTTATTTTTGGATTATCTAGGTTTTTCAATACTGCTTTCATAAATCGATTGTACAATTTATAGCTTCTTGTAGTAAAGTTTCTTTTATTACAGTACATGTTCAATTTTTTCTTCTTCTACTTTCATATTATATTCTAGGGGTACATTTGCAAGTGTGTTACATGGGTAAATTGCATGTCACTGAGGCTTGGTGTATGAATAACCCTATCAACCAGGTAGTGAGTATAGTACCCAAGAGGTAGCCTTCCAACCCACACTACCCTGCACCCTTACCACTCAAGTATTGCCCAGTGTCTTTTTTCCCCATATTTATGTCCATGTGTATTCAATATTTAGCTTCTGCTCATAAGTGACAACAGGTGGTATTTGGCTTTCTGTTCCTGCATTAGTTTGCTTAGGATAATGGCCTCTAGCTGCATCTATGTTGCTGCAAAGGCTACGATTTCATTACTTTAATGACTACATAGTATTCCGTGGTATATATAGTCCACATTTTCTTTATCCAATCAACTGTTGATGAACATCTTGGTTGATTCCATGTCTTTGCTATTGTACATAGTACTGCAATGAACATGCGAGTACATGTGTCTTTTTGGTAGAACAATTTTTTTTTCCTTGGATATATAACCAGTACTGGGATTGCTGGGTCAAATGGTAGTTCTATCTTATGTTATTTAAGAAATCTCCACACAGGTTTTCAAAATAGCTGAACTAATTTACATTCCCACCGGCAGTGTATAATTGTTCCCTTGCCTCCACAACCTCATCAGTATGTTGTTTTTTGACTTTTTAATAATAGTGATTCTGACTGTTATGAGATGGTATCTCATTGTGGTTTTAATTTGTATTTCTCAAAGAGTAGTGGTGATGAGCATATTTTTTCATATGTTTGTTGGCAGCATGTTCATTTTCTTTTGAAAAGTGTCTGTTCATGTGCTTTGCCCACTTTTTAAGGGAGTTATTTGTTTTTGGTTTGTTGAATTGTTCAAGTTTCTTATAGATTCTGGATATTGGACCTTTATTGGTGATATGGTTTGGCTGTGTCCCCACCCAAATCTCATCTTGAATTGTAGTTTCCATAATCCCCATATGTCATAGGAGGGACCCGGTGGGAGGTAATTGAATCATGGGGGCAGTTACCCCCATGCTGCTGTTCTCATGATAGTGAGTTCTCACGAGATCTGATTGTTTTATAAGGGGCTTTCCCCCCTTTGCTCAGCATAAGAAAGACGTGTTTACTTCCCCATCTGTCATGATTGTAAGTTTCTGAGGTCTCCCCAGCCCTGCAAAACTGTGAGTCAATTAAACCTCCTGACTTTATAAATTACCCAGTCTCAGGTATGTCCTTATAGCAGTGTGAGTATGGACAATACAGTTGGATACAGTTTCCGAATGTTTTCTCCCATTTTGTAGGCTGTCTGATTACTCTGGTGATAGTTCCATTTACTGTGTAGAAGCACTTTAGTTTAATTAAGTCCTACTTTTCAATTTTTGTTTCTTTTGCAATTACTTTTGGAGACTTAATCATAAATTATTTACCAAGGCTGATATACAGAATGGTACTTCCTAGGTTTTCTTCAAGGGTTTTATTTTTTATTTTTGTGGGCCCAAAGTAGGTGTATATATTTATGGGATATATGAGATATCTTGATACAGGCATACAATGTGTAATAATCACATTAGGATAAATGGGATGTACATCACCTCAAGTATTTGTCTTTTGTGTTACAAACAATCTAATTATACTCTTTTGGTTATTTTTAAATGTGCAATTAAATGATTATTGACTATAGTCATCCTGTTGTGCTATTGAATACTAGTTCTTATTCATTCTTTCTATTTTTTATACCCATTAAACATCCCCATTTCCATCACCCCAATCAACTACCTTTTCTAGCTTCTGGTAATCATCATTCTACTCTCTTTCTCTATGAGTTCAATTGTTTTAATTTTTTCCTCCCACAGATAAACGAGAATATGTGAAGATGAGTTTGCTGTATATGTATGGACTTGTTTCTAGGTTCTCTATTCTGTCCCATTGGTCTGTCCCTATGTGTCTGTTTTTATTCCAGTTCCATGCTATTTTGGTTACTGTAGCTCTGTAGTATAATTTGAAGACAGGTAATGTGATTCTTCCAGTTTTGTTCTTTTTGATCATGATAGCTTTGGCTATTCTGGGTCTTTTGTGGTTCCATATAGATTTTAGGATTTTTTTTTCTATTTCTGTGAAGAATGTCATTGGTATTTTCATAGGGACTGCATTTGATCTTTGGATTGTTTGGGGTCCTACTGACATTTTAACAATATTGGTTCTTCCAATTCATGAACATGGAATATTTTTCCATTGTTTTGTGTTTCTTTCAATTTCTTTCACCAATCTGTTACAGTTTTTATTGTAGAAATCTTTCACTTATTTGGTTAAGTTAATTTCTAGGTACTTGATTTTATTTGTAGGTATTGTAAGTAGGATTACTTTATATATGGTAATACTGGTTTTGTACAATGAGTTTGGAAATAGTTCCTCTTCCTCTATTTTTTGGAATAGTTTGAGTAGGATTAGTATTAGCTCTTCTTTAAATGTTTGGTAGAATTCAGCAGTGAAGACATCAGTTCCCAGGCTTTTCTTTGCTAAAAAGTCTTTTTATTATGGCTTCAATCTCATTACTTGTTACTGGTCTATTCAGGTTTTGAATTTCTTCATGACTTAATCTTGGTAGGTTGTATGTGTCTAGGAGTTTATCCATTTCTTGTATATTTTTCAATTTATTGGCATACAGTTGCTCATAGTTGCCACTAATTATCCTTTGAATTTCTGCAGTATCCATTGTAATGTCTCTTTTTTCATCTGATTTTATTTGAGTCTTCTCTTTTTTCTTAGTCTGGCTAAAGGTTTGTCAGTTTTATTTATCTTTTCAAAAAAACAACTTTTGTTTTGTTGATCTTTTGAATTGTTTTCTCCATTTCATGTATTTCTGCTCTCATCTTTATTTTCTCTACTAATCTTGTGTTTGGTTTGTTCTTGTTTTTCTCTTTAAGGTGCATTGTTAGGTTGTTTGTGTGAAGTTTTTCTTCTATTTTGATGTAGGCATTTAGAGTTATATACTTCTCTCTTAGTACTGCTTTCATTGTATCCCATAGGCTTTGGTATGTTGTGTTTCCATTAATATTGGTTTCATGCATTTTCTCAAATTCCTGCTTAACTTTTTCATTGACCCACTGGTCATTCAGGAGCATGCATATTGTTGAATATTCATGTTTTTGCATAATTTCCAAAATTCCTCGTTATTGAATTCTAGTTTTATTCCATTGTGGTTAGAGAAGATGCTTGATATTGTTTCAATCCTTTTGAATGTTTTAAGATTTGTTTTGTGACCTAACATATAATCTATCTTTGAGAATTATCCACTTGCTGAGGAAAAAAAATGTGTATTCTGCAGTTGTTGGATGAAATGTTCTGTAAATATCTATTAGGTCCATTTGGTCTATAGTGCAGATTAAGTCCAGAGTTTCTTTGTTGATTTTCTGTCTGGAAGATCTGTCCAATTCTGAAAGCAGGCGTTGAAGTCTCCAGCTATTATTGTATTGGGGCCTATTTCTCTCTTGAGCTCTAATAATATATGCTTTATATATCTGGGTGCTCCACTGTTGGGTGCATATGTATTTTCAGTTGTTTTATCCTCTTGCTGAATTGACCTTTTTATCATTATATAGTAATCTTTTTTGTCTCTTCTTATAGGTTTTGTCTTGCAGTCTATTTTGTCTGAAATAAGTAAAGCAATTTCTGTTCTTTTTTGATTTCCATTGTCATGGAATATCTTTTTCCATCCCTTTATTTTCACTCTATGTGTGTCATTGTAAGTGAAGTATGTTTCTTGTAGGCTACAGGACATTGGGTCTTATTTTTTATCCATTAAGCCACTCAACATCTTTTTATTGGAGAGTTTAGTCTATTTACATTCAATGTTATTATTGATAAGTGCGGACTTACTTCTGCCATTTCGTTACTTGTTTTCTGGCTGTTTTGTGGTGTTCTCTTCCTTTTTTCCTTCCTTCCTGTCTTCCTTTTAGTGAAGGCAATTTTCTCTGGTGATATAATTTAATTTCTTGCTTTCAACTTTTTATATATCTGCTGTATGTTTTTAAATTTGAGGTTATCATAAGGCTTGCATATACTATTTTATAACTCATTTCTTAAGCTGAACAACTTAACATTGTTGCAAAAAGAATCAAGCAAAAAAAAAAGTAATAAAAACTCTATGCTTTAACTTTGTCCCCATGCTTTTTAACTTTTTCTCGTTTCTATATTTATATCTTATTGTACTATCTATGTCTTGAAAAGTTGTTGGGTTTATCATTTTTATTGGTTCATTTAGTCCTTCTACTTAAGAGTAGTTTGTGCACCACAGTTACAGTGTTATAATATTCTGTGTTGTTCTGTGTTCTTACTATTACCAGTGAGTTTTGCACCTTCAGATGATTTCTTATTGCTCATTAACATTCTTTTATTTCTGATTGAAGTACTTTTTCCAGAATTTCCTGTAAGACAGGTCTGGTATTGATGAAATCCCTCAGCTTCTGTTTGTCTGAGAGAGTTGTTATTTCTCCTTCATGTTTAAAGGATATTTTGACTGGATATACTATTCTAGGATAAAAGATTTTCTTTCCTTCAGCATTTTAAAATTGTCATACCATAGTTAAAGTGATCAAGGGGGGAAAAAAGCATTTTACCTGTAAGGTTTCCACTAAAAAGTCTGCTGCCAGATGTACTGGAGCTCCATTGTACATTATTTGTTTTTTTTATCTTGCTGCTTTCAGTATCCTTGACCTCTGGGAGTTTGATTATTAAATGCCTTGAGGTAGTCTTCTTTGGGTTAAATCTTCTTGGTGTTCTATAACCTTCTTGTACTTGAATATTGACATATTTAAGTCAATGTTACTGACTTCTCTAGGTTTGGGAAGTTCTGTGTTATTATCCCCTTGAATAAACTTTCTACCCCAAACTCTTTCTCTACCTCCTCTTTAAGACCAATAACTCTTACATTTGCTCTTTCGAGGCTAATTTCTAGATCCCATCAGCATGCTTTATTCTTTAATTCTTTTTTTGTCTCCTCAGACTGTGTATTTACAGACAGCCTGTTTTCAAGCTTAGTAATTTTTAATTCTGCTTGATCAATTCTGTTATTTAAAATCTCTGATGTCTTCTTCAGTATGTCAATTGCATTTTTCAATTCCAAGATTTCTGCTTGATTCTTTTTAATTATTTCAATATATTTGTTGAGTTTCTCTGAGAAAATTCTATATTCCTTCTCTATGTTATCTTGAATTTCTTTGAGTGTCCTCAACATAGCTATTTTGAATTATGTCTGAAAGGTCACATATCTCCGTTGCTCCAGAATTGGGATCTGGTGACTTATTTAGGTTGTTTGGTGAGGTCATGTTTTCCTGGATAGTCTTGATGCTTGTGGATGTTTGTCAGTGTCTGGGCATTAAAAAGTTAGATATTTATTGCAGTCTTCATATTCTGGATTTGTTTGTACCCATCCTTCTTGGGAAGGCTTTCAGGGTATTTGAAGGGACTCAAGTGTTGCAATATAAGCCATATCTGCATTAGGCAGCACCCCCAGCCCAGTAATGCTGTAGTTCCTAAAGACTCATAGAGGTACCTACCACCTTGGTGGTCATGGATAAGATCTAGGAGAATTTTCTGGATTATCAGACAGAGAGTCTTGTTCTCTTCTCTTACCTTCTCCCAAACAAACAAAGTCTTTTTCTTGGTGCTGAGCTGCCTGGAGCTGGGGAAGGGGTGACACAAGCACTTGTGTGGCAACCACCACAGGAACCGTGCTTGCACAGACCTAAAGCCAGCACAGAACTGGGTCTTGCCCAAGGCCTGCTATAACCACTATCTGGCTACTGCTTATGTTCACTCAAGGCCCTAGGGCTCTACAATCAGCAGGTGGCAATACCAGCAAGTTTTATGTTCTTCCCTTCAAGGCAGTGAGTTCTCAGACAGGTCCAGAGATGTTGTCCATGAGCCAGGGCCTAAAGCTGGAAACATTAGAAATCTATCTGATATTCTAGGGTACTGCAATTAAGCTGGCACTGAAACCACAAGACAAAGTCCTTCCCACTCTTATCTCCTCTTTCTCCAGACAGCGGAGTCTCTCCTCATGTCCACTACTACCACAGGCCCATGGGAAGTATTGCCAGGGTATCACCAGTGTTCACTTACATCCCAAAGGCTCTTTAGTCAGCTTGTGGTGGATTTTGCAGGCCTGGGACTCACCCTTCAGGGTAGTAGTCTCCCCTCTGGCCCAGGGTAGGACCACAAGTGCCATCCAAGAGCCAAGTCCTAAAACTGGGGACCCAAAGAGCCTTAGTGTTCTTCTCCACTGTGGTCAAGCTGGTACCTACATTGCAGAACAACAAAGTCCCCTTTACTCTTCCCTCTGCTTTTTTCAAGCAGAAAGAGTCTCTTCTCATAGCCATCACAGCTATGGATATGCTAGGTCACACCTGAAACCAGCACATCTCAGAGTCTCACCCAAGGCCCACAGTGTGTACTACTGGGCCTGGAATGGGGGCCTCACGACTCTGCCTGGTGCCCTATCCTACTGTGGCTAAACTGGTATTCAAGTTGGAAAACAAAGTCCTCTTTACTCCTTTTTCTTCTTTCCTCAAGCAGATAGAAGAGGCCTCTTTAGGAGTTACAAGCTGCACAGCCTGGGGTTGGGGGAGGGATGACACAAGGACTCCTTTAGTTACCCCAGCTGGTGTTTCACTAGGTCACGTGCCCCCAAAGGCTACTGGCTCCAAGCCCATTATAGCACTTGGACTTGCCTTGGAGTTGCAGTCCTTGTGGCCTAGACTGCCACTGAAGTTTATTGAGGACCCCAGAGCCCTTTACCCCATAGTGGTTAGGCTTGCTGAAACTCAAGTTCCAACCACTGGCATGGGTAATTCCCCTCTATCTAGGGCTCATCTAAATGCTCCCTCTGTGGGCATGGGCTGAGTTCTGCCTGGTGTTGTTTTCTGCTGTAACAGGGCAGCACTGAGTTCCAATGCAAAGTCTCACAAATACTGTGCTCTACTTCCCCAAACACACAGATTCTCTTTCTGTGCCACATGGCCACTGCCAGGAGATGAGGGAGGGGTTTTGTTGGTAATTCAAGATTGTCTTTCCTATCCTCTTCAATGCTTCTTTTAGCAATATGAAGTTAAAACCAGGTACTGTGATTGTTTACCTGATTTTTGGTTCTTATGAGGGTTTCTTTTGTGTAAATAGTTGTCGAATTCGGTGTTCCAAATTTGGGGAGGATAATTGGTGGAAGCTTCTGTTTGGCCATGTTGCTTTGCCTCCTTCCCTTCTAGGGTTATTAATGTTTTAGGTCTTACATTTAAGTCTTTAATCCATCTTTAGTTAATTTTTGTACATGGTGAAAGATAGGGGTCCACATTCATTCTTCTGCATATGGATAGCTAGTTGTCCCAGCACCATTTATTGAATAGGGAGTCCTTTGCCCATTGTTTGTTATTGTTGACTTGGTTGAAGATCAGGTGGTTGTAGGTGTGTGGCTTTATTTCTAAGTTCTCTATTCTGTTCCACTGTTCTATGTGTCTGTTTTTGTACCAGTACCATACTGTTTTGGTTACTGTAGCATTGTAGTATAATTTGAAGTCAGGTAGCGTGATGCCTCTGACTTTGTTCTATTGGTTCAGGATTGTTTCAGTAATTCAGGCTCCTTTTTTAGCTTCATATGAATTTTAGATTAGTTTTTTTCTAATCCTGTGAAAAACGGCATTGATAGTTTGATAGGATAGTGAATTTCTTTGAAAAGTATGACCATCTTAACAATATTGATTTTTCCAATCCATGCACAATGGGATGTTCTTCCATTTGTTTGTGTCATCTCTGATTTCTTTCAGCAGTATTTTGTAATTCTAATTAGAGATCTTTCACTTCCTTGGTGAGCTGTATATCTAGGTATTTTGTTCCTTTTGTGGCTATTGTAAATGGGATTAGGTTTTTGATTTGGCTCTCACTTGGATGTTATTTGTGCATAGAAATGCTACTAATTTTTGTACATTGATTTTGTATCCTGAAACTTTACATATCAATATTGATATGGGAAGATTTGATTCTATCATTGTGGTGTTAGATAGTTGTTATATAGAACTTAATTGTATAGTTGCTTTATAGTGTCAATAGTAAATGTAAAGTGTGGTTTTTGTGGTGGCATGTATCTTTCTTTCCCATGTTTAATGTTTAGCACTCCCTTTAGGACCTCTTGTACGGTGTGCCTAGTGGTAGTGAATTCTCTTAGCATTTGCTTGTTTGAAAAGAATCTTATTTCTCCTTTGCTTGTGAAGCTTAGTTTGACAGGATATGAAATTCTTGGTTTGAATTTCTTTTCTTTAATGATGTTGAAAATAGGCCCCCAGTCTCTTCTGGCTTATAAGGTTTCTGCTGAAATGTCTGCTTTTAGCCTGACGAGTTCCCTTTGTAATTGACCTGCCTCTTTTCTCTAGCTGCCTTTCAGATTTTTTTCTTTTGCATTGACCTTAGAGAATCTGATGGGTATGTCCCTTGGGGATAGTTACTTTATATAGTATCTTAAACAGGTTCTTTGAATTTCTTGAATATGCATGCTGAAAGCAAGACTGGGGAAATTTTCATGGACTGTATCCTCAAATATGTTTTCCATGTTGCTTCCTCTCTCTCTTTCCCTTTCAGGAATGCCAGTGAGTTGTAGGTTTGGTCTCTTTGCATAATCCCATGTTTCTCAGAGGTTTTATTCATTTTTCTAAATTCTGTTTTCTTTATTTTTGTCTGCCTGTGTTTCTTTGATGGAGTGGTTTTCAAGTTCTGAGATTCTTTTCTCAGCTCGATCTGTTCTATTCTTCATGCTTCCAATTGTATTTTGAAATTCCTGTAGTAAATTTTCCATTTCCAGAAGTTCAGTTTGATTCTTTCTTAAAAGGTTATGTCATCTTTCAATCCTTGGATCATTTTACTGTTTTCCTTAGATTGAGTTTGAATCTTCTCTTGTATCTCGATGAACTTCCTTGCCATAGATTCTTAATTCTATGTCTGACATTTCAGCCATTTCAATCTGGTTAAGAACCATTGCTAGGGAGCTAGTATGATCATTTGGATGTAAGAAGACACTTTTGCCAGGATTTTGGCACTGGTTCTTTCTCATCTGTGAGAACTGATTTTCCTTTATCCTTTGAATTTAAATAAAAAGTTCTTTGGATAGGGCTTTTTGTTTTATATTCGTTACTGTCCTTGAGGGTTTGACTCTGCTGAAAGTTGGGTATAGGTGAATGGCTTCATTTCTAGATGCTTTCAGAGGGCCAAGGCTCAGCTCTGCACTCCTGGTCTGCATGCTCTAACCTTGGGTGGCTGGGACTGTGCCCATGACTTTGTCCTCTAATTTCTCAAGGTCAAGAACCAGCTTGGCTGGAGGGGTCAAGGTGCTCCTGGACCACTGGCAACAGCACTGTGTCTAGGGCAGTGGTGGGGCAGGGGGGAATGAGTAGGAAGCGCTCTGGTGGGAGGCTGTCAGCAAAAGCACTCCAGTAGGGTGGGGTGGGGGGGCCTCCAAAGAAAGTGCTATGGCAGTGGTTACTGGCAAAAGCACCCTGGTAGGTTAGCTGAGGCTGTGCTGCATTCTGGCATGCCAGACAGGGACTCTGGGAGGGGCTGGTGGACAGTGGGGTACAGAGCTCTGACTCACCCTGGTCATACAGAAAAGACAGCCCTGCTCTGTCAGGTCCAGTGATTATACTATGCCTCATTTTAGACCTGATATAATTCTCTTTAGATTCTAGATATATAACAAATGCTAATATATCTGGGCCACATATGCTATAACTGAAAAATATTTGAGAGTTTTAAGTGAGAAGATTCTTTTCTTCTCACTTTCTTGAGTGTTCAGAAAGATTTCTATTGAACTTGCTAAAATTATATCCTTTCACAAGACTCTTAGAATAGATATTTATTTCCCCCCAAATGGTCTTCTTGTGAGACTATGGTTGCTATCTAATGATAATCCATGATCTGATTATTTTCCTAGAATCTTTCAAATGAAGTTGGAAGAAAACAAGGGAATAGGAAATAAATTTTGGCAAAATTGTAGGCACTGGTACACAGCAGAAGTTACCATAGGAAACAAAATATTTTTGCCTCATTTTATGGATGAGAAAACCAAGGCTTAGACTGATAAAATAAATTTCCTCAAAGACACACAAACAGTAAATGACAGAGCCAGAATTTAGAAATGCAAATTCTTGGGCCTCATTACAGACCTTCTGAAACTCTTGGGTAGGACACAGCAGTCTATGTTTTAATAAACTTTTTTTGGGGGGGTGGGGGACAAAGTCTCTCTCTGTCACCCAGGCTGAAGTGCAGTGGCACAATCTTGGCTCACTGCAACCTCCATCTCCAGGGTTCAAGTGATCCTCCCACCTCAGCCTCCCAAGTAGCCGGGATTACAAGGATGCACCACCACCCCCAGCTAATTTTTGTATTTTTAGTAGAGACGGGATTTCACCATGTTGACTAGGCTGGTCTCAAACTCCTGATGTCAGGTGATCCACCTGCCTCAGCTTCCCAAAATGCTGGGATTACAGGCATGAGTTACCACACCCAGCCATGATTTTAATAAACTTTTAAGTGATTGTGATGCACTCTCAAATTTGAAAACTGCTATGTCAGACCAATTCACAAAAATGGAGGACACAGGCTTAGTGTTTAAAAGAGCAAGGCACAGAACAGGGCTGTCTCTTTATAAAAAGAGATCTAATGTATAGCATTGTGACTATACTTAATAATACTGTATTATTACTTGAAATGTGCTGACGGAGTAGATCTTAAGTGTTCTCATTACACATGCAAAACAAGGTAACTATATGAGATGATGGATGTGTTACTTAACTGTGGCAATAATTTCACAGGGTATATGTATATCAAAACATCATATTGTCACCTTGATTACATATAATTTTGTTTGTCAATTATACCTCAATAAAGCTGAAAAAAAGAGAGACAGAGACTAGATAATGAATGGTCTCTAGTTTGTACCCTTGGGAATAACCCAGGAAAATTACTCCTACTTATAAACACACTTTGGGAATAAAATTTAGAAGATAATAAAACAGGCATGTCTGATGCCCTAAAGAGAGATGGAATAATTTAGCTGTTTTCTTTTTTAGCATCTTCAAACTGGAAAGACCTGATAACTAGACTAGTTACAAGATTCAAAAAGGTGAACTGATTTGCTCCAAATCACACAACTACTTGGTTGGCGGAAGAGCTGGAAATAGGACATAAGTTCTAGAGGCCAATAATCTAGTTAGGGCTTGTTATACTGGGCCTCCATTATTTTCCTCTTCACATTCTTCCAATTCTTTTTTTGACATTCTCTTCCAGGTCACAACTTGGAGTCTAAGATGATTTAACTTTGAAATACTGAAAATAATTTTAATTTTTTACTCAACCTTTCTACTTCCTGGCTCTGGGCCAAAGAAGCTGGCCACCTGTTCTTAATCTATTCTTATCAGCTGGAAAATAACTGAGAGATGCCAACAGTAACCTGGCTGAGGACTAGGGCATGGGACTCCATGTTAAGGAAGCCACAGTCCACAGGGAAATTATGGGACAGCTGTCAGGCAGAGAAGTAAACAGGAATAAAGATGCAACAAGTTGCTGATGTGATTGGGAACGTTTTTCCTTCCTAGGTTTCCCTCTACATTATAATATAGTTTTCTTGGAAGAGGCACAATAGAGAAATTAAAAATTAGATAAGAGGGACCAGCAACGTTGTTGCCAGTGACAGGAACATGGAGGACAGAGATAGAAAACAGGTCTGAGGTAGCAGGAAACAATTAACTATAACCCTGATTAGCTAAGCCTCTGGCCAAAAAAGGTGAAAAAACAGAAGTCAGGTAGCTGTATAGGTTTTCCAGATATGAAAGGGATATAGAACAAGAAACAGAACTCAAGAAAATTTTAAGAACTATTAGGACAATAAGAAAGGGAGAGAAAGCTATTTTGTAACTGCAAAGAAAAAGCAAGAGAATGAATCTGACTTCCTGATTTGGAGGTGAGGAAGACGCTGCAGGGAACCAATGATTAGCTGAATGTAAGATGCAATGCCAGTCTGATACATTAGTCTTTACAGAAAATTTAAAAGTTGGGAGGGAAGTAATACTCTGGTTATGGTTTTATTCTAAACAGAGATACATTGTGGCTGGAAAATTTGTATAAAGATGATAAGGCAAATTGATACAAAGGAAGTAGCATGACTTGCTCCACCATAATGGGTAGCACAAGTGGCCTTGGGCACAGCATGAGTGTGAGTGGAACTAACCAGGGCAACGAGTGGGGGCATGTCAAACAAGCAACCATATCAGAACTCAGGTACAAGATCAAGGGGAGAGTTGAGAATGATTCCAATTATTGTCATATCAGGAAAGTGTGTAGAATAAGAAATAGGGACTCAGAGAAAAAAGGTGAATAAAGCAGGAGATGAGCACCAAATCACCAAAAATGCTAGAAAGCTAGCATTTATGACCTTCTAAATCAAGTGGGAGCTGGTTCCATAGTGGGTTTTCAAGTTGGCATCAGAAGTTGGGGAAGTACCTGCTAAGAACTTGGCTTAAACCAAGTTCTACTCTTTCAGCATCAGTCTCCTTATGTACAGAGAAAATGATACTTGGTTGGTACAAAAGTCATTGTAGTCTTTGCCATTACTTTTGTTTTTATTTTATTTTAAGTTCTGGGATTCATGTACAGAAGGTGCAGGTTTGTTACATAGGTATACGTTTGTCATGGTGATTTGCTGCACCTATTGACCCATCCTCTGGGTTCCCTCCCTTTGCCCCCACTACCCCTCAACAGGCCCCAGTGTGTGTTGTTCCCCTTCCTGTGTCTATGTGTTCTCATTGTTCAACTCCCACCTATGAGTGAGAACATGTGGTGTTTGGTTTTCTGTTCCTGTGTTAGTTTGCTGAGGATGATGGTTTCCAGCTTCATCTATGTCCCTGCAAATGACATAATCTCATTCCTTTTTATGGGTGCATAGTACTCCATGGTATATATGTACCATATTTTCTTCATCCAGTTTATCATTGATGGGTATTTGGGTTGGTTCCGTGACTTTGCTACTGTAAATAGTGCTGCAGTAAACATACATGTGCATGTGTCTTTACAGCAGAATGATTTATATTCCTTTGGGTATATACCCAGTAATGGGATTGCTGGGTCAAATGGTATTTCTGGTTCTAGATTCTTGAGGAATTTTTGTCATGTCTTCCACAATGATTGAACTAATTTACAATCCCACCAACATGTAAAGGCATTCCTATTTCTTCACAGTCCCACAAGCATCTATTGTTTCTTGACTTTTTAATAATTGCCATTCTGACTGGTATAAGATGGTATCTCATTGTGGTTTTGATTTGCATTTCTCTAATGATCAGTGATGTTGAGCTTTTTTTCATATGTTTGTTGGCCACAAAAATGTCTTCTTTTGAGAGGTATCTGTTCATATTCTTGGCCCATTTTTTGGTGGGGTTGTTTTTTTTTCTTATAAATTTGTTTAAGTTCTTTGTAGATTCTGGATATTAGACCTTTGTCAGATGGATAGATTGAAAAAATTTTCTCTCATTCTGTAAGTTACCTGTTCACTCTGATGATCATTTCTTTTGCTGTGCAGAAGCTATTTAGTTTAATTAGATCTCATTTGTCAATTTTGGCTTTTGTTGCCATTGCTTTTGGTATTTTTGTCATGAAGTCTTTCCCATGCCTATGTCCTGAATGGTATTACCTGGGTTTTCTTCTAGGGTTTTTATAGTTTGGGGTTTTACAATTAAGTCTTTAATCTATCTTTAGTTAATTTTTGTATAAGGTGTAAGGAAGGGGTCCAGTTTCAGTTTTCTGCATATGGCTAGCCAGTTTTCCATTTATTTAATATGAAATCCTTTCCCCATTACTTGTTTTTGTCAGATTTGTCAAAGATCAGATGGTTGTAGATGTGTGGTGTTATCTCTGAGATCTCTATTCTGTTCCATTGGTTTATATGTCTGTTATGGTACCAGTACCATGCTGTTTTGGTTACTGTAGCCTTGTAGTATAGTTTGAACTCAGGTAGCATGATGTCTCCAGCTTTGTTCTTTTTGCTTAGGATTGTCTTGGCTATACAGGCTCAGTGAGAAGAATCAAGTAGACACAATAAAAAATGATAAAGGGGATATCACCACTCACCCCACCAAAAGACAAACTACCATCAGAGAATACTATAAATGCCTCTGCTCAAATAAACTAGAAAATCTACAAGAAATGGAAAAATTCCTGGACACATACCCCCTCCCAAGATTAAACCAGGAAGAAGTTGAATCTCTGAATAGACCAATAACAAGTTCAGAAATTAAGGCAGTAATTAATAGCCTACCAACCAAAAAAAGCCCAGGACTACCCGTATTCACATCAAATTCTACCAGAGGTACAAAGAGGAGCTGACACCATTTCTTCCAAAACTATTCCAAATAATTGAAAAGGAGGGTCTCCTCCCTAATTCATTTTATAAAGTCAGCATCATCCTGATACCAAAACCTGGTAGAGACACAACAAAAAAAGAAAACTTCAGGCCAATATTCCTGATGAATATTGATGCAAAAATTCTCGATAAAATACTGGCAAACTGAACTCAGCAGCACATCTAAAAAGTTATCCATCATGATCAAATCAGCTTCATCCTTGGGATGCAAGGCTGGTTCAACATAAGCAAATCAATAAACATAATCCATCACACAAACAGAACAAAAGACAAAAACCACATGATTATCTCAACAGATGCAGAAAAGGCCTTTGATAAAAGTCAACATCCCTTCATGTTAAAAGCTCTCAATAAACTAGGTATTGATGGGACATATCTAAAAATAATAAGAACTATTTATGACAAACCCACAGCCAATATTATATTGAATGGGCAAAAGCTAGAAGCATTTTCTTTGAAAACTGGTACAATAAAAAGATGCCCTCTCTCACCAGTCCTATTCAACATAGTATTGGAAGCTCTGGCCAGGGCAATCAGGCAAGAGAAAGAAATGAAGCGTATTCAAGTAGGAAGAGAGGAAGTCATATTGTCTCTGTTTGCAGAAGACATGATTCTATATTTAGAAAACACAATCATCTCAGCCCAGAAACTCCTTAAGCTGATATGCAACTTCAGCAAAGTCTCAGCATACAAAATCAATGTGTTAAAATCACAGACATTCCTATACATCAACAATTGACAAACAGAGAGCCAAATCATGAATGAACTCCCATTCACAATTGCTAGAAAGAGAATAAAATACCTAGGAATACAGCTAACAAGAGATGTGAAGGATCTCTTCAAGGAGAACTACAAACCGCTGCTCAAGGAAATAAGAGAGGACACAAACAAATGGAAAAACATTCCATGCTCATGGATAGGAAGAATCAATATTGTGAAAATGGCCATACTGCCCAAAGTAATTTACAGATTCAATGCTATTCACATCAAACTAACACTGACATTCGCCATTACAATAGAACCTTATTCCTCCTGGTGCCGTACCTGACTCTAACCAGTGATTGTGGAAATCAAATTAAAAGTAATGTATGCAGAAAAGGCTATGAAACACAAATGCAAGATGATGGTATTATGATGTCATTTTGCTAACTCTACTCCATTATATTGGTTTAATGAGAGGAGTGGTATATTTGTGAGCTACAAAGACAAAAAAAAACTCAGGAATGATACTCTTGGCACAGAGGTTAAGCTCAGGCAAACAACACAGTGAAACTTTATCTGAACAGGATTTATACTGTCCTTCGCAAAGCCACCAACTATTAAATTAATGTTTCTCTTTATTTTTTTCCACTGCAACAATAGGGGGGTTGATTCTTACTTGATAGATATAGCATGCATCCCAATTACAGTGTCTGACACTACAAAACAAATGAGTATCTCATACTCAAGGACTCTGTTATTCTTAAAGGCAGAGAAAAGAGAAACAGAGAGTCCAACTTACCTCCAGGACCCTTTGCTGATGCTATCCTTCGGGTTATAGACTCTGAGGGCAGGAACAGGTGTGCCTCATTTCTGTCTGTATGTGCATAAAGCAAGGGCCGTTCCTAGGATACGTCTTAAGTGAAATATGCCCACTCAGCAACAGAGGTAGCACTAGAATACATATTTATTTTATGTTTTTGAAACTTCTATTGGTTGTTATCTGATATAGACAGCAGACTTTGAAAACTGGGCAAAAGTAGAGAACCTGTCACTACAATTACATAACAGATGAGTTGCTGATATAGACACTGTTAATTGTCTATGCAGTAGCCATTATTCCTTCTTCACTCCTTTCCTTCTAACCTGATTTGTTCAGGGTAGCAATATAGCCATCTAAAAATATGTAACTTCCCAACCTCCCTTATAGACAGTGGTGGTCCAATGGCACATGTATGGCCAATGAAACATAGGCAAAGTCCCTGAGGTGGGTGCCTCTTCCTAGATAAAAGAAGACATTCCTCCACCATTCACCATTCTTTCTACTCATAATGCAATCATGAGGCCTAGAGATGCAGTCACCATCTTTCACCATGAGGTGACAATCATGAGAATGAAGAGCTACCCAGTGAGGACGGAGCATGGAAAAATGGAGCCCAAGTTCCCAGGGGCATCACTGGGCAGCTGCACCAGTCTTGGATTGCCTGCCTCTACGCTTTTTACGAAGTGAGAAAAGCAAATCCCTTGTTTAAACTTCTCTCACTTGGCCTCTCTTTTATTTTCAGCAGAATATATTCCTAAGTGACAAAAGAAACTTTTCAGAGAGATAATGGGACTTATGAGCCGTAACAGTTCATGGGAGCCATTTACCAGGAAGCTATCAGTGAAGTCAGTTTGCAGGCAAATAAGAATGAGAAGGAAATTCTAAAGAGAGGACATAGAGAGACTGATGTTTACCTGATATATCACTGTTCTGACATAAGTAGAAAAAGCTAATGGCATTTTAAAAGCAGCAAACTACAGACATGACTCTTGCAGGATTATTCCATCTATTAACTTATAAATATTTATTGAGCCCTGTTTTGTGGCCAGTGTCCTCCTCCTCCTCCTCCTCTTTTATTTGTTTCATTATTTGGAACTCCAAGATTCTTCCCTGGTAGAAAATAAAACTCTCCTCCAAGGATCTTAAAATGCTTCAGCAATATCTTCAGAGAAATGTCATGCACTCATTTACTGGGAATTTTCTCTAAGTTACTCACTCGCTCAGTAAAAGGGGTAGTAATAGAATACACATCTATTCTACCTTTTTCAAAACTTCTATTCATTGTTATCTAATGTGGTCTAGAAACTTTGAAAGATGAGTAAAAATGAGCTGAGTTTCTAATCCTAATAGAATAATACATCTAATGCTAACCATTATCATGTTATGCTGCTTGATAATTTTACCTAAATGATTTCTAATATACATGAATGATGATTACTTGTATACAAACAAGAAACTTTTTCTATCTTTGTCCTCATTTTGTTGGTTTTTCAACGTCTAGAATTAGCAGAAAAACCCATGGAATTATTATTTTAGCATCACCATGTACACACCCACATATACAGCAAGAAAAATATGAAGTAGATTAATTACCCAGGCCTTCTCCCAGCAAAAGGTGAGTGCCCCTTGCTTTTGCCTTGCCCATCCTTCGTTGCCTGCCTTAACTCTGTCCACACTGCATAAGTAATTCCTTAATTAAACTCTCTTCTTGTATGTGTGCAAAGAGCCACCTAAATTTTGGTTGCATTTTTTCCCAAAATCTATTGAATATCTTTAATCAAGGTATTCAATGAATAAAGAACCAAAATATTTAAGCTTTTAATCAAATGTAATAATTGAAATAAAGTCTGCAGATGGAAGTCATTAAAACATTGGTACAAACACAAGAGACAAACCAAACAAAATACATGATGAGAACTCAGATCATAAATAAATAAATAAAAATAAACTCTGCTACTAAAATTTTCAAGTTTGTCATCTATTTTCTCCCAGGATCCTGACCTATACAAAGGTTCATATAACAAGACTCCCTCCATGGTTAGAGGGTGGTCCTGAGGAGAGAACACACCACAGGCTCACCAAGCTCCACACTCCTAGCATCTTCCCAGTTCCTCAAAGTACATTAATGGACTGGAGACACAGAGACCCTTAAAAATATTAAAAGGGTCAATATGTCAGGAAAACATGATCATTACAAATGTATATGCATCTAATTACAAACATTTAAAGTGTGGGGTTAATCACTCTGTGGTTCTCTCCATGTTACATGTTAATAAAATATTTTTTAAAAATCAAAGTATATGAAGCAAAACTTGATAGAACTAAAGGGAGATAGACAAATAAGCAATCATAGCTGCAGATTTAAACATACCTCTCTTAAAAATGGTATAATGACTAGATTAAAAATCAGTGAAGATATAGAAGTTCCACAGAACTGCCTCCCTTTCTGTCACACCATTGCCCATAATACCTATACCAGGGGATACACCTACTATTGTTATTTAGAGATAAAAATGATTTTTAAATGCTAGCACACTGATGCATACCAGTCAAATTGCCAATAAGATATGAAATCCCTTAAGGAGGATGTAAAACGTGGAGGGCTCCTTATGACACTTAGAAAGTCATAGAAAGGGGGAACTTCAGAGAATGAAGAAATCCACGTAAAAGAGAGATTCGACATTCAAAAGAGAGAATCTGATAAATGATTCAATCCATTTATACAAAGTTCTAAATGGCATCAATAGGGCTAGGAGTCAGAATAGTGGCTACTCCTGAGAAATAATTACTGGAAGGTGGCATAGAATGAACTTGTGGGATAGAGGTCATATTCTGTAAACCAATCTTGGTGCTGGTAATACTGCTGTGGTCAATTTGTGGAAATTCTTTAAGATATATGCTTATAATTTGTGCAATTTTTGAATTGCATATTGTTCTTCAAGAGCAAAACAAAACATTTTAAAAAGACAAACTCCATGAACTTCACACTTCAATTTCACTACTTGGCTTGGCTTCATAAATGTTCATTGGAACAGGGAAATGACACATGCAAAGATATTTCATATCCCATTGTGCTTGGCATATGTGCATTCGAGGGAAACCTTAACCCTCATTACAGTACTAAAAATCACAAAGCTAGCCCTATGTAGAAAGCTGAAACTGGATCCCTTCCTTACACCTTATACAAAAATTAATTCAAGATGGATTAAAGACTTAAATGTTAGACCTAAAACCATAAAAACCCTAGAAGAAAACTTGGCCTTACCATTCAGGACATAGGCATGGGCAAGGACTTCATGTCTAAAATACTAAAAGCAATGGCAACAAAAGACAAAATTGACAAATGGGATCTAATTAAACTAAAGAGCTTCTGCATAGCAAAAGAAACTACCATCAGAGTGAACAGGCAACCTACAAAATGGGAGAAAATTTTCGCACCTACTCATCTGACAAAGGGCTAATATCCAGAATCTACAATGAACTCAAACAAATTTACAAGAAAAAAACAAACAACACCATCAAAAAGTGGGCAAAGGATATGAACAGACACTTCTCAAAAGAAGACATTTATGCAGCCAAAAGACACATGAGAAAATGCTCATCATCACTGGACATCAGAGAAATGCGAATCAAAACCACAATGATATACCATCTCACACCAGTTAGAATGGCAATCATTAAAAAGTCAGGAAACAACAGGTGCTGGAGAGGATGTGGAGAAATAGGAACACTTTTACACTGTTGGTGGGACTGTAAACTAGTTCAACCATTGTGGAAGTCAGTGTGGCGATTCCTCAGGGATCTAGAACTAGAAAGACCATTTGACCCAGCCATCCCATTACTGGGTATATACCCAAAGGACTATAAATCATGCTGCTATAAAGACACATGCACACGTATGTTTATTGTGGCACTATTCACAATAGCAAAGACTTGGAACCAACCCAAATGTCCAACAATGATAGACTGGATTAAGAAAATGTGGCACATATACACCATGGAATATTATGCAGCCATAAAAAATGATGAGTTCATGTCCTTTGTAGGGACATGGATGAAATTGGAAATCATCATTCTCAGTAAACTATCACAAGGACAAAAAACCAAACACCACATGTTCTCACTCATAGATGGGAATTGAACAATGAGAACACATGGACACAGGAAGGGGAACATCACACTCTGGGGACTGTTGTGGGGTGGGGGGAAGGGGGAGGGATAGCATTAGGAGATATACCTAATGCTAAATGACGAGTTAATGGGTGCAGCACACCAGCATGGTACATGTATACATATGTAACTAACCTGCACATTGTGCACATGTACCCTAAAACTTGAAGTATAATAATAATTAAAAAAATGAATAAGAAGATATTTAATAACATGGAAATTTCATAAATTTAGGTCTCCTTATTAATTCATGGCTGGGATTACTGGCCCCAGCTCTTTGCTCTCCCTGTATGTAGGCTCTATGCTATGAGACTGAAAAAAGAATTTTTTTCCTGCCTTCATTGATGGACTACACCTCCCAAATCTTTACCTTTGGGATTGATCTTATGACTTTCTCTGGCCAAGTATACACAGATGGGCAGGAGGGAAAGTATGCCAGTTCCAAACCTAGGCCTTCACAGGCTCACACATTTTTGTTTGCTCTTTTGTGCCGCTGTCATTGCTTTGAAAAGCATGTTCTCCAGGTAGCAGCTGTCCCTTCATCCTGAACCTCAGAATAAAACAAATGAAGCAGACTTGAGCCACCTGGACTCTCAGCTTGAAGCAGAGATACCCCAAGTGACTCACAGATATATGAGCTACATAAATGCTTATTGTATACATCTAAGATCTTTCTAGTTATTTGTTACATAACAATAGCTAACCAATGCACAAACCAAAAGTTAGAAATATATACTGAAGCAAGTTGCACAATTCTGCCTGATTCCTTCGAGCTATAAGACCTACTTACACACAATAGAGCCTGCCCCAGTTTTTAAATAATAACCATTATAATAATAATCATGATGGTTAATTTTGTGTGTCAACTTGCCTGGGCTAAGGAATGCCCTGATAGCTGGTAAAATATTACTTCTGCTGTGTCTGTAAGAATGTTTTCAGTAGACTGAGTAAAGATTTTCCCTCACCAATGTGGACAAGCATCAGTGAATTTTTTCTCTCTTCTTGAGCTAGGATATCCATCTTCTACTGCCCTCAGGCATTACAGTCCGTGGTTCTCAGACCTTCAGACTCAGACCAGGACTTATACCATTTTCCCCCCCGGTTCTAGGTTTGAGACTCAGACTTAATTACAACATTGGCTTTCCTGGTTCTCCAGCTTGCAGACAGCAGATGGTGGGACTTCCTGGCTGCATAATCAAGTGAGCCAATGTCTGTAATGAATCTTCATATATATTTATTATATATGTTTTTTTCTATTAACTCTATTTCTCTGAAAAATCCTTACTAACACTGTTATTATTATTACAGGCTTCTGATATTCATGCATGGTTTGTTGTCTTAGAGTACTCAAGGGCAAAGCCCAGGTCAAAGCTAGAGAACAGTGCTAATATCAGATAATAGATGCAAAGGAAATTTGTAAATAGACCACAAAGTACCTGAGTTCCCTAGCTTCTTGCTTTGTGTTCTATTTACAGACTTCTGCCTTCTGCAGTCCTGGGTAAAGACCTTTGCTGTCCAACTCAGCCAGACATTCCTTGACATAGGCTTTATTTTTCTCCTTTCCACCCTTGACTCATACCCTAGCTGTGGATGCTCCAGCCTGGCAAATGGGTCCTAGGCAAATTGAGCAGAAAGAGCCCCTCAATACTGGCAGAGTAGGCCACTTTTTTCACATCATTCTAATGAGGTTGTTAACACTTCCTTCTCCCCAGGATGTTATTTATTCTCCTTCCTCAAAACTTTGTGCTCTAACCCCATGGTATTAGAACTCCAGCACAGATTTGCATCCAGAGCCAGTGAATAAGTCACTGAACCTCTTGTCGGTCCTTATCTCCAGTCTTTTCTCTCAAGCTGCAATGAGAAAGTGTATGCTCTGCCTTGGCAAACTCTTGAAGCTCTTTGGTTTTAAAATCTTAAAAGGTACTCTTGAGAGCTTGAGCAGCAATGGCAATAGATAGCACATTAATAGTCTGGCAGAAGTGCTGTCTTCCTGACATTCAGCAGCTCTTGAGAAGGCTTCATTTGCATACTGGCATGGTCACAGGACTAAGCCCTGCAAATAGAGAGTCTAGCATCTGTCAAAATAAGAAAGCAGTTTAGAGTACCTGATAGGAATCTGAGAAGGATGCTCAATTTGGAATCACACACTGACACATGTGGCTTTCAACTCAGAGCAACCCACTTTTTCTCGTGAATCAGAAAGGATGTAAAATTTACTAAAAACCTACAATGTGCCTGGCGAAGTACTTGGGGTTTAATTGCATTGTCTCATTTAATCCTTACACAGCTCTGCAAGGTCAGTACCTTTTTTTTCCTTTTATAAATGAGGAAATGGAGGCTCAAAGAGATTAAATGACTTGCTCAAGGTCATGTGGCTAGTTAAAATGAGAATGCAACTTTGAACCTGGATCTATTCCACTGCATTCTTAGAACCCAAAAGATGAATGTGACTTTAGAAGAACTTAAACAGGACATAAGAAAGATATCAATGACAGGTATTTTTCAAACACCCACAATTGCTTTATTTGAATAGTAAAGGCAGGGTACAAATCTGTCCCTACAATCCAAGGTCAACTTTGCAGTTTCTGTCAGTCATAGGTGCCATAGTTAGGAATGCTATGTTGAATGAACTTATGTCCAGCAGAAACAGAGAGTCCTCTCCCTGTAGGTTTCTGGAATCCCTCAGGTCATGCTGTAACCGCCCAAAATTAACACTGTTGTTACCACACAGACAGATGACACTGTCAGGATGATGTGAGGGAAAACAGAGGGCAATTGTGGAGTCTCACCAAGACATAACTAAACACCACCAACAAAATCTTATACTCATGTGCATTCTGTCTCTCTGGATTTTATTTTTTTCATTCACCGCTGATCAGAAGGCAAGTCTCTCTGGATTTCAACCTAGACAAGGGCTACTCTATGAAGCTCAATATGATTTTGAAATGAATTGGGATTTCAATATAAGCAATATTTGCAAGTATTGTGTGCCCATCACTGGGCTCGAGCTTTCACCTATCTTGTCTCATTTCTACCAATCCTGTAAGAGAGCCATGATTATTGTCTGAGATGTTAAGTATCTTGCACAGTGCCACACAGATAAGAGTGGCAAGCTGAATTTTAACTCAGCTCTCTTGAAGAGTAGTTCAGAGTTCTTAGTCCCAAACTGGTGACCTACGTTATAGTCACTTAGATTTTTTTTTATAACTATAAAGTAGTCAGAGTCCCACAATGTTTTGAAAAAGTATAGTATCACTGGAAGAAAGATGCAACCTCCAAAGGCGGGAACATTGTGTGATAACTAGACTGTATCTAAAGGCATAATCTATATCTAATTCTTCTAAATAAATATTCTTAAATGAATGAATTTTTGAGAGAAACAAAAATATCTTATTCTAACAGCATTGCCTACTTTGCAGCACTCAGTGTGGGTTTATAAAGCCCTTCCTTTGTGAAGCAGTACCACTTCATATATCAGTCAAATAATCAGCCCTAAAGATTCCTAAATCCATGAAAAAATATTCTAGGTTTTAGAAGAGTTGTATTTTAATTTCCTTTAGGAGAGCACATTCCTAGGAGTTCTTAGAGGTGTGCCATTAATGTTCTATCCCCACTTTAAAACGCCAATGGAAATGCTATGTTTTCTTGAAAATGGCCATATAGACCAACAGATATATCAAGCTCATTTTAGCTAGAATTATACTAACTCATTGATTATAAGTGCTGATAGGAAGCCATGGTCAGCATGCAGAAAGATAGAGGCATGGGTGCACACTAAAATAGGAAAGCTAGTTATTACTTATTAATATATATTTTGCAATAAGACATGGTTTGATGAAAAAGGAAACTATTAAAAACAAAACTTAAACAAAAAATTAAGATAATTCACAAAAAAGAAATTTAAAAAGCTAACATTACCAATAATCAGAGAAATGCAAGTAAAAATGATAAGATGCCACTTAATACCCATCACATTAGTAGAAGTTAGAAGGTCAAATAATACCAAGTATTGGTAAGGTTGTGCAGAAATGGAAAGCTTCCTGCACCGCTACTGAAACTGTGAGCCTGTGCAGCCATTTTAGAAATCAATCTAAAATAAAATAAATCTGGTTGTAGATAGTGAAGATAAGAGTGTGTGTCCTT
The DNA here is from genome assembly GCF_000001405.40 of Homo sapiens. Taxonomy (NCBI): domain Eukaryota; kingdom Metazoa; phylum Chordata; class Mammalia; order Primates; family Hominidae; genus Homo; species Homo sapiens. The sequence goes on from NC_000003.12 coordinate 132,132,520, forward strand.
GAAATCCCAGCACTCCTACTCCTGTATGTATTCCCTAAAGAAATCCTTGTCCAGGTCCAAAAGGACTCAAGGCTATTCATCAAATTTCTGTTTGTGGAAGCAGGGAAGTGGAGGCAGCCTGACTTATCCATCACTAAGGAAATGGAAAAATAAAATGTAGATTCAAACTGTGAAAAACCCTGCTGGAATTAGAAGCAATGAACTAGTTGTGAATAGAAAAACATGGCTAAGTCTCAAAAAGTTAGTGTTGAGTAATAAAAATCAAAATCAGAATAAAGGCTGTAATGCAACACCATATGTGCCAACTTAAAAAATGCACACACATGCTATATTTTCCAAGAATCCATACATACTCAAGGATATATATCTGACATATTAGTTAGGGTGCATGGGGAGATAGAGGGCTGTGGATACCGGGAGGGAATGAGGATAAGGCATGAAAGAGGAAATAAAAATAAAACAAAAGAGGGAACTGTAATGATAGTGTTCCATGAACTGAGAAGAATGTCAATTGCAACTCTATGCCCATGAGACCCAAATAAATAAAGTGTACATTGTATGGGATGGGGGGAAGAAGTATAATAAGGAGAGAGAAACCATTGAGATGAATAATTATGGTCAGCTCTTGCAGTCAAGATGTTGTCATTGTCGGTTGAATGAAATCTTTAGGGTTACAGGAAGCATTGATAGTGTGTCATTTAGCCCTTTTCATCTGTCACTGCTAAAGGGCTCAAAGGCACACCAGGTGCCCAGTGGGACCCAGTACAAAGTACTGTTATGGTTACATCTGAATTTGTAACCCAATTTAGTATAAAATTTAGTATGGCTTTGCGATAAACAGAAAGGAGAAAGAGAAACCCTGGCTTGTCCTGTGAAGGAAAGCACAGCATTTCTCCTTGGCCATCAGTGCCAACCCATTGCTCTATCTTTGCCACCAAAGTTGAAAACTGTTTAGCAGTGTCTCTGTTGTGGCTTCCAAATTATCCCTAGAATAGATTAAGAAATTCTAGGAAATATCAAGTCAGGAAGAGACACAGGTCCTCAGAAACATAATTGGAGATAATTCGCTTCCTAGATCAGCATCCAGACTGTAGACTCCTCTTTGTCTTAATAAACAAACAAGGAAGTAAATAAAGAAATCAGAAGCAGTTACATTTGCTGCCAGAGAGCACTAAAAAATAATAATAATTTCAAGACGCAAGAAATATTTTATAGAACAAGAGACAAAACAACAATAGAGGAATTTTGTTGAGGTGTGCAAACTGTTATTTAAATACACATCAGCTGAAGAGTCTATCACAAAGAGTATAGAGAGTACAAGAAGATTAAGAAATATATTACAACAAGAACTTCAGAGGTTAAATAATTACTAGCATCAAATTTCATATTTAAAATAAAACTCCAGACATTCATTTAGTTGAAACATACAGTTAAATGGCGGCCAAAAGAAAATCTAATTGCTATGGATAGAACATTTGCAAATGTCATATGAGAAAGTCATTTTTTCAGGCAACATATTATACATTTTTAAATATCAAAAAAATGAGGTCTGGAGTTAAACAAAATTAAATCAAATGAAAATTCAGGGTCAGTGCTTAAAACTATTGTCGAATGTTAAATATCTAGGAAAGTTTCAAAATTTCTGGGATTCAAAGGGTGGGGAAGATAAATAATTTCTAAATAATCCAGAAGTTTAGGGGATCCTATACTACATATGTGACTTTATGAAGTATTATTTTTATAACTGGAAACTTCCTTCTTAAACTACTCCCATCCCCAAAACCCCACCAACACCACCTTAGCCTTGTCTCATGTAACTATATCAAATATTCAGAAATATTTTATACTCTTTTCTGATATATTTTTAGCCTTTAGACAGCAGTGGGTTCTAACACTTTGCAATCAATCTTCTCTAGCCCCCTTCTAGCAAAATTTCAATGTGATATAATATGTGATTATTATGCCTTTCCAATTCTCTAGGTAAACTAGAAGTGAAATGAAATCAAAGTGAATTCTGCACTACTGAAGGGGGAGGGAGGATTTCCTGTGCCTTCAGTTAGTTTAGAATCTAATTGGGAAGAATTGAGGTAAAAGGGCAATATACTACAGAGTTTTAAATAATATGACAGCAATAATTACAGTATTATATTGGGAATATACTTGGGAAGAGGGGAAAATAAGGTCAGAGATAGCTGCCAAGAGGAAATGATGTCTCAGCCGAAACCAGAAAGGCATGCAAGAGGTAGGCAAGGAAAGAACAATAAACACTGAGTCATGATCTCAACTTTCTACATCTAAATGTTTCAATATCCTGGAATGTCTAAGTTTGACATAAATATAAGTGGAATTTTATAACAGCAGGCCAATAACTTGAAAGTGTTAATGCTGCACATCTACTTAACCAATGCCAGGAGACCTCCACACAGTTTATTTCATAGCCCCTTAAGTGATGCCATATGGGCCATCACTGATTTTTAGAATCACCCTTCTGGAAATCTCACTTTGCTTTGCTCTAAGAAGCTATAGTGGGTACCTGTTCCCTGCACCCACAGCCTCTTCCTTCCTCTAGAATCTAGAAAAGATAATGTCAGCAATTATATTATTTTCTCTATCCACCATTTCAGACACAGCCTTATTTCATAAAAGAAAGTATACTTGATAAAAATATTCAAAAACTGAGTTGTGGTGGTATTGGTACATTTTCTATCAATTTACTAAAACTACTTATTGTACTCTTACAATGAATAAATTTTGACATTATGTAAATTATACCTCAATAAAGTGCACCTAAATGTTGAACTTTTAAATTTATATATTATTTATTTTTCAAAATCTTAGGGCCCTGCATTTTTTATGCATTTCTATATACATTATTTATTTATAGAGGCATCAGCCACACTTCTGTTTCCTGGTTCCTACCCCAACCTCTGTGACCTCAGCAAGCAGCATAGCCTCTCTGAAACTCAATTTCCTCACATTTATAAATGAGCTTTTATATTATTTACAAACCTACCTCATAGAGCAGGTTGCAGGCTACATGAGAAGGTGCAAGTTCAATGCCAAGCAGGGTCCTAGTATTTAATAAAAGCTCAATAAATATTCATTTTCTTCTTTCCTTCTCTTACTTGAAGTATAACATTTGATAATGAATTTTCTCATTGCAACAATAACACCCCTTCCACTGAGGGATTTGTATCCCTGCTTAAGAAGCTATTAGTATTCTACAGCAGCGACTCACCCCACACAATCTTGGCAGAATACATCCCTCTACCTCTCTGGTCAATAACCTGCCTGGCCTGTGACCCCAGGCTTCCTGAGAAGCACCAAGTCCTCCCAGCTTTCCCCCTTGCCAGTGGCCTTCTGAAAGTGATACCATTCCGTTTGCGTCTTTCATTTAAGAGACAAAAGCTGGTCCCAGGCCACAGCAGGCTTTCAAAAGCACCTCCAGGATTCTTAATAGGTCATGAGAGAGAGAACTGCCACCCAGAAAAGATAGAATCAACTAGCCTGCTTCTTTTCTGGTGGCACACAGAGTTCATCAGCAACCCCGGACTGTGTAGTTAATGCCTCACCCAGGGAACAAGGGAGAATTAAGATGTCTGGAATGAGAAGCAGCTGAGAATGGGAAGCTTTGTCCCTGGAGCCAATTGTAGCTTAGACTCAACCTGCTAATGTGTATTTCTCTCTCCATGACTCATTTTGGGTAAATGCTAACAAGGACTAGTCACTCTCCTCCTCTCAGCAGCCTCAGGAGGGACTGGGATCATGACTGCAGCCTCAAGCTATGCAAGCAGCTCAAAGCTACCCTCTCTCTGTGTGGATTAAATGTAGGCAAAGTTTCTCCCTTCAGGATGAATCTTTGGTTTCTTCTCTTTAACCTTCTAGGTCTGCAACCCCCTTGCCCTCCTGGTCTGGTAACTCTACTCCTGAGACCTTCTGAAAGCCAGTGTGCTTTCCAGGGAGACTGATGTTTCACATCACTGTTTTCTCTCCCTCTTCCCCGTCACTGACAGTGGTCCAATGCCCGCAATTCCACTGAAGGACTTTCATTCCTTTAGCCTAAGGATTCCACTCTCAAAACATAACTGTCCTCATTTAATAATATATGTTAATATTCTTAAAACCTTCAATTTATCACCCCCACTGTAAGAATTTAGTCTGACAAACCAGAAACATGCAAAAAGATTTCTGTACAAAGATGCTTATTGCAGTATTGTTCATAATATCAAAAAATGAAACCAATATAACTGCCCCAAAATTAAAATATGAAATAAATTATGGTATAACTATAAAGCAATATTAAAAATCGTGTTTGCAGATCATATGCTGATAGTTAATAAAAAGAGCAGGAAAAACCTACATAGTGAGTCTGATCAAAACAATGAACAGGTACAGCTCCCAGCCTGAGCGACGCAGAAGATGGGTGATTTCTGCATTTCCATCTGAGGTACTGGGTTCATCTCACTAGGGAGTGCCAGACAGTGGGCGCAGGTCAGTGGGTGCGCGCACCGTGCGCAGGCCAAAGCAGGGTGAGACATTGCCTCCCTCGGGAAGCGCAAGGGGTCAGGGAGTTCCCTTTCCTAATCAAAGAAAGGGGTGACGGACGGCACCTGGAAAATCGGGTCACTCCCACCCGAATACTGCGCTTTTCCGATGGGCTTAAAGGTGCACCACGAGATTATATCCCGCACCTGGCTCGGAGGGTCCTACGCCCACCGAGTCTCGCTGATTGCTAGCACAGCAGTCTGAGATCAAACTGCAAGGCGGCAGCGAGGCTGGGGGAGGGGCGCCCACCATTGCCCAGGCTTGTTTAGGTAAACAAAGCAGCAGGGAAGCTCGAACTGGGTGGAGCCCACCACAGCTCAAGGAGGCCTGCCTGCCTCTGTAGGCTCCACCTCTGGGGGAAGGGTACAGACAAACAAAAAGACAGCAGTAACCTCTGCAGACTTAAATGTCCATGTCTGACAGCTTTGAAGAGAGCAGTGGTTCTCCCAGTATGCACCTGGAGATCTGAGAACGGGCAGACTGCCTCCTCAAGTGGGTCCCTGACCCCTGACCCCCAAGCAGCCTAACTGGGAGGCACCCTCCAGCAGGGGCACACTGACACCTCACACTGCAGGGTACTCCAACAGACTTGCAGCTGAGGGTCCTGTCTGTTAGAAGGAACACTAACAAACAGAAAGGACATCCACACCATAAACCCATCTGTACATCACCATCATCAAAGACCAAAAGTAGATAAAACCACAAAGATGGGGAAAAAACAGAACAGAAAAACTGGAAACTCTAAAAATCAGAGTGCCTCTCCTCCTCCAAAGGAACGCAGCTCCTCACCAGCAAGGGAACAAAGCTGGACGGAGAATGACTTTGACGAGCTGAGAGAAGAAGGCTTCAGACGATCAAATTACTCTGAGCTACGGGAGGACATTCAAACCAAAGGCAAAGAAGTTGAAAACTTTGAAAAAAAATTAGAAGAATGTATAACTAGAATAACCAATACATAGAAGTGCTTAAAGGAGCTGATGGAGCTGAAAACCAAGGCTCGAGAACTACGTGAAGAATGCAGAAGCCTCAGGAGCCGATGCGATCAACTGGAAGAAAGGGTATCAGCGATGGAAGATGAAATGAATGAAATGAAGCGAGAAGGAAAGTTTAGAGAAAAAAGAATAAAAAGAAATGAGCAAAGCCTCCAAGAAATATGGGACTATGTGAAAAGACCAAATCTACGTCTGATTGGTGTACCTGAAAGTGATGGGGAGAATGGAACCAAGTTGGAAAACACTCTGCAGGATATTATCCAGGAGAATTTCCCCAATCTAGCAAGGCAGGCCAACGTTCGGATTCAGGAAATACAGAGAACTCCACAAAGATACTCCTCGAGAAGAGCAACTCCAAGACACATAATTGTCAGATTCACCAAAGTTGAAATGAAGGAAAAAATGTTAAGGGCAGCCAGAGAGAAAGGTCGGGTTACCCTCAAAAGGAAGCCCATCAGACTAACAGCGGATCTCTCGGCAGAAACCCTACAAGCCAGAAGAGAGTGGGGGCCAATATTCAACATTCTTAAAGAAAAGAATTTTCAACCAAGAATCTCATATCCAGCCAAACTAAGCTTCATAAGTGAAGGAGAAATAAAATACTTTACAGACAAGCAAATGCTGAGAGATTTTGTCACCACCAGGCCTGCCCTAAAAGAGCTCCTGAAGGAAGTGCTAAACATGGAAAGGAACAACCGGTACCAGCCGCTGCAAAATCATGCCAAAATGTAAAGACCATCGAGACTAGGAAGAAACTACATCAACTAACGAGCAAAATAACCAGCTAACATCATAATGACAGGATCAAATTCACACATAACACTATTAACTTTAAATGTAAATGGACTAAATGTTCCAATTAAAAGACACAGACTGGCAAATTGGATAAAGAGTCAAGACCCATCAGTGTGCTGTATTCAGGAAATCCATCTCACGTGCAGAGACACACATAGGCTCAAAATAAAAGGATGGAGGAAGATCTACCAAGCAAATGGAAAACAAAAAAAGGCAGGGGTTGCAATCCTAGTCTCTGATAAAACAGACTTTAAACCAACAAAGATCAAAAGAGACCAAGAAGGCCATTACATAATGGTAAAGGGATCAATTCAACAAGAAGAGCTAACTATCCTAAATATATATGCACCCAATACAGGAGCACCCAGATTCATAAAGCAAGTCCTGAGTGACTTACAAAGAGACTTAGACTCCCACACATTAATAATGGGAGACTTTAACACCCCACTGTCAACATTAGACAGATCAACGAGACAGAAAGTCAACAAGGATACCCAGGAATTGAACTCAGCTCTGCACCAAGCGGACCTAATAGACATCTACAGAACTCTCCACCCCAAATCAACAGAATATACATTTTTTTCAGCACCACACCACACCTATTCCAAAATTGACCACATACTTGAAAGTAAAGCTCCCCTCAGCAGATGTAAAAGAACAGAAACTATAACAAACTATCTCTCAGACCACAGTGCAATCAAACTAGAACTCAGGATTAAGAATCTCACTCAAAACCGCTCAACTACATGGAAACTGAACAACCTGCTCCTGAGTGACTATTGGGTACATAACGAAATGAAGGCAGAAATAAAGATGTTCCTTGAAACCAACGAGAACAAAGACACAACATACCAGAATCTCTGGGACGCATTCAAAGCAGTGTGTAGAGGGAAATTTATAGCACTAAATGCCCACAAGAGAAAGCAGGAAAGATCCAAAATTGACACCCTAACATCACAATTAAAAGAACTAGAAAAGCAAGAGCAAACACATTCAAAAGCTACCAGAAGGCAAGAAACAACTAAAATCAGAGCAGAACTGAAGGAAATAGAGACACAAAAAACCCTTCAAAAAATTAATGAATCCAGGAGCTGGTTTTTTGAAAGGATCAACAAAATTGATAGACCGCTAGCAAGACTAATAAAGAAAAGAAGAGTGAAGAATCAAATAGACGCAATAAAAAATGATAAAGGTGATATCACCACCGATCCCACCGAAATACAAACTACCATCAGAGAATACTACAAACACCTCTACGCAAATAAGCTAGAAAATCTAGAAGAAATGGATAAATTCCTTGACACATACACCCTCCCAAGACTAAACCAGGAAGAAGTTGAATCTCTGAATAGACCAATAACAGGATCTGAAATTGTGGCAATAATCAATAGCTTACCAACCAAAAAGAGTCCAGGACCAGATGGATTCACAGCCGAATTCTACCAGAGGTACAAGGAGGAACCGGTACCATTCCTTCTGAAACTAGTCCAATCAACAGAAAAAGAGGGAATCCTCCCTAACTCATTTTATGAGGCCAGCATCATTCTGAAACCAAAGCCAGGCAGAGACACAACCAAAAAAGAGAATTTTAGACCAATATCCTTGATGAACATTGATGCAAAAATCCTCAATAAAATACTGGCAAACCAAATCCAGCAGTACATCAAAAAGCTCATCCACCATGATCAAGTGGGCTTCATCCCTGGGATGCAAGGCTGGTTCAATATACGCAAATCAATAAATGTAATCCAGCATATAAACAGAGCCAAACACAAAAACCACATGATTATCTCAATAGATGCAGAAAAGGCCTTTGACAAAATTCAACAACCCTTCATGCTAAAAACTCTCAATAAATTAGGTATTGATGGGACATATTTCAAAATAATAAGAGCTATCTATGACAAACCCACAGCCAACATCATACTGAATGGGCAAAAACTGGAAGCATTCCCTTTGAAAACTGGCACAAGACAGGGATGCCCTCTCTCACCACTCCTATTCAACATAGTGTTGGACGTTCTGGCCAGGGCAATCGGGCAGGAGAAGGAAATAAAGGGTATTCAATTAGGAAAAGAGGAACTCAAATTGTTCCTGTTTGCAGATGACATGATTGTATATCTAGAAAACCCCATCGTCTCAGCCCAAAATCTCCTTAAGCTGATAAGCAACTTCAGCAAAGTCTCAGGATACAAAATCAATGTGCAAAAATCACAAGCATTCTTATACACCAATAACAGACAGAGTGCCAAATCATGAGTGAACTCCCATTCACAACTGCTTCAAAGAGAATAAAATACCTAGGAATCTAACTTACAAGGGATGTGAAGGGCCTCTTCAAGGAGAACTACAAACCACTGCTCAATGAAATAAAAGAGGACACAAACAAATGGAAGAACACTCCATGCTCATGGGTAGGAAGAATCAATATCATGAAAATGGCCACACTGCCCGAGGTAATTTATGGATTCAATGCCATCCCCATCAAGCTACCAATGACTTTCTTCACAGAATTGGAAGAAACTACTTTAAAGTTCATATGGAACCAAAAAAGAGCCCGCATCGCCAAGTCAATCCTAAGCCAAAAGAACAAAGCTGGAGGCATCATGCTACCTGACTTCAAACTATACTACAAGGCTACAGTAACCAAAACAGCATGGTACTGGTACCAAAACACAGATATAGACCAATGGAACAGAACAGAGCCCTCAGAAATAACACTGCATATCTACAACTATCTGATCTTTGACAAACCTGAGAAAAACAAGCAATGGGGAAAGGATTCCCTATTTAATAAATGGTGCTGGGAAAACTGGCTAGCCATATGTAGAAAGCTGAAACTGGATCCCTTCCTTACACCTTATACAAAAATCAATTCAAGATGGATTAAAGACTTAAACGTGGCCGGACACGGTGGCTCACGCCTGTAATCCCAGCACTTTGGGAGGCCGAGGCGGGCGGATCACGAGGTCAGGAGATCGAGACCATCCCGGCTAAAACGGTGAAACCCCGTCTCTACTAAAAAAAAAAATACAAAAAATTAGCCGGGCGTAGTGGCGGGCGCCTGTAGTCCCAGCTACTTGGGAGGCTGAGGCAGGAGAATGGCGTGAACCCGGGAGGCGGAGCTTGCAGTGAGCCGAGATCCCGCCACTGCACTCCAGCCTGGGCGACAGAGCGAGACTCCGTCTCAAAAAAAAAAAAAAAAAAAAAAAAAAAAAAAAAGACTTAAACGTTAGACCTAAAACCATAAAAACCCTAGAAGAAAACCTAGGCATTACCATTCAGGACATAGGCATGGGCAAGGACTTCATGTCTAAAACACCAAAAGCAATGGCAACAAAAGACAAAATTGACAAATGGGATCTAATTAAACTAAAGAGCTTCTGCACAGCAAAAGAAACTACCATCAGAGTGAACAGGCAACCTACAGAATGGGAGAAAATTTTCCCAACCTACTCATCTGGCAAAGGGCTAACATCCAGATTCCACAATGAACTCAAACAAATTTACAAGAAGAAAACAAACAACCCCATCAAAAAGTGGGCAAAGGATATGAACAGACACTTCTCAAAAGAAGACATTTATGCAGTCAAAAAACACATGAGAAAATGCTCATCATCACTGGCCATCAGAGAAATGCAAATCAAAACCACAATGAGATACCATCTCACACCAGTTAGAATGGCAATCATTAAAAAGTCAGGAAACAACAGGTGCTGGAGAGGATGTGGAGAAATGAGAACACTTTTACACTGTTGGTGGGACTGTAAACTAGTTCAACCATTGTGGAAGTCAGTGTGGCAATTCCTCAGGGATCTAGAACTAGAAATCCCATTTGACCCAGCCATCCCATTACTGGGTATATACCCAAAGGACTATAAATCATGCTGCTATAAAGACACATGCACACGTATGTTTATTGTGGCACTATTCACAACAGCAAAGACTTGGAACCAACCCAAATGTCCAACAATGATAGACTGGATTAAGAAAATGTGGCACATATACACCATGGAATATTATGCAGCCATAAAAAATGATGAGTTCATGTCCTTTGTAGGGACATGGATGAAATTGGAAATCATCATTCTCAGTAAACTATCGCAAGAACAAAAAACCAAACACCGCATATTCTCACTCATAGGTGGGAATTGAACAATGAGATCACATGGACACAGGAAGGGGAACATCACACTCTGGGGACTGTTGTGGGGTAGGGGGAAGGGGGAGGGATAGCATTAGGAGATATACCTAATGCTAGATGACGAGTTAGTGGGTGCAGCACACCAGCATGGCACATGTATACGTATGTAACTAACCTGCACATTGTGCACATGTACCCTAAAACTTAAAGTATAATAAAAAAAAAAGTTCAAACAAATAAACAGAAATTAAGTTAATAAGGAATATTAAAATGTAGAAAAGAGATTAGAAAGAATGAGCCAGTTTAAAAGTACTTTCATTTCCTCTTCTATTCACATGATTAAAAAATTAATAACATTTATTTTAAAGACTCCTCATTAATAGAATTTCCTCTCACATAGTACTTTCACTATGTCAAACAAATGAGTAAAAGAATAACAAGATATGATATTGATGATTTTTATCTATTTAGAGGTTGAGAAATGACCTATATTACTTGTACTAGAACTGTGTGACATCAGAAAGCCTAACTTAGGAATGTCATTACTGAAAATATATTTTGACTAAAGTTTGTAATTTATTAAGTCTCTCAATTAGATTTCTAGTTTGAAACTATATGAAGTCTTAAAAAGATATTTGTTTCTAGTTATAGTCTATATTTTTATAAAGACCTATTTCAAGATAATAAGACAAATAAACTTTGGTAAAGGATGCTAGAAGGTCTGAGATCCAATGATTCCATGTTTGGTAATATTTTTAGGCCAAAAAATCATGTACCTATACTTTTTGTTAAAGTATATGATGCTATTTAAGTAGTAACTTAGGTTCAAAAACAGATTCTATTCCAGCAAATGTTCTTAGTTTTGTGGTTTTAATTCAAACTAGTACAATGTGGAAATTTATGTAATCTATTTTAAGTTCAGCAAGTAAATAAAAACAACTATTTGTCCCCTTGCTTTCTAAAAAAAAAAAAAAAACAAAACAAAAAAAAAAAAACAATGAACACACACCTACACACCCCACACAATATTACACATAGAGAAAATTCTGGTTGAAAAGTGTTTTGAAATATGGACAGTGTTTTTCTTCAGATGGTGGGACTATGAGTGACTTTTTACATTTTTTTCTATTGTTCTACTTATTTCTTCCTTACTGTGCATATGTTACTTTCCTAGTTAAAATAAAAGACTTTTAAAAATAAACGGGCACTTTGGGAGGCTGAGGCAGGCGAACCACGAGGTCAGGAGATCAAGACTATCCTGGCCAACATGGTGAAACCCCATCTCTACTAAAGATACTAAAAAAAAAGTTAGCTGGGTGTGGCGGCACACACCTGTAGTCCCAGCTACTCGGGAGGCTGAGACAAGAGAATTGCTTGAACCCAGGAGGTGGAGGCTGCAGTGAGCTGAGATCGTGCCACTGCACTCCAGCCTGGGCGACAGAGCAAGACTCTGTCTCAAAAATAAATAAATAAATAAATAGGGCCAGGTACAGTGGCTCATGCCTGTAATCCCAGCATTTGGGGAGGCTGAGGCGGGTGGATCACGAGGTCAGGAGTTTGAGACCAGCCTGGCCAATATGGTGAAAGCCTGTCTCTACTAAAAACACAAAAATTAGCCAGGTGTGTGGTGGCGATGCCTATAGTCCCAACTACTCGGGAGGCTGAGGCAGGAGAATTGCTTGAACCTGGGAGGCAGATGTTGTAGTGAGCCGAGATTGTGCCACTGCACTCCAGCCTGGGAGACAGAGCAAGACTCCATCTCAAAAATAAAATAAAATAAAATAAAATAAAATAAAATAGATGAAAATTCCACAATCTACAAAATATCTAGAAAAGGTAACATTTCATTATCTCATTCTTACAATGGGCCTCTGGGAGTATCATCTATCATTTACATTCAAGGTGCATCAGTTTCAAATCTGCTAGAGGAACAATTATTGATGGAGAGAGAAGACTTAGAGCATTGAGTATTGATTATTGAAAGAGAAGGAGGAGGTATGATGTGGGTGGTCTGGGGGGTGAGGCTGGAGACAAATTTGTAAAACCCACTACCCTCCACTCATATTGCCCCTTCTCAGAAACCTGCAAACCCCAACAGAGTGATGAGCAGACTGCATACAGGGAAGGCAGTGTCATGCAATGTAGTATAGTGAGAAGAACAGTGAATGAGTAGTTACCATCCCTTTTAGTCTAGTGAGAGAGATAGACATTAAACAAACATACAAATAAATCATATTTACAAGTTGTGATAAATGTTACAACAGGGTTTCTCAGCCTCAGCACAATTGACATTATGGGTCAGGTAATCCTTTGATGTGAGGGGCCAGTCTGTGCATTGTAGGGTGTTTAGCAGCATCTCTCTACCTGCTACATGCCAGTAGTACCCGCCCTCTGTCAAGTTGTGACCACTAGAAATATCTTCAGACATTGCCATATGTCCTTTGGGGTCAAAATTCCCCCTCTCCACTTCATGTTGAGAACCACTGCTGTGAAGGAGAAAAGAAGAGGAGTCTCTGAGACTGCTGAATAAAAGGGCCAAATTTAGGCTTCAAGTTCAGGGAAAATCTGTTCGAGGAGTAAGTCCTGAAGTTGAGACACAAAACATGCTTAGGATATCGTTTAGCAAATAGGAGGAAGAGTGTTCTGGCAGGAATCAGAGCCCATGCAAATTCCCTGAGCCTGGAGTTCTAGAGGAATTAGAAGTCCAGTGCAGCTGGAGTATGATGTGAGAGATGAGACTGGAAGGGGGAGGCTGTTCATGTGGTCTGTAAAATAGGACAGGTTGAGATATCTGGGTTCCCCTGTGGATCCACCCACTTGCTGTATGCAAACATTCTTTTTCTCATCTTCATTTTGTCTCTGTGTTTCACTATCTCCACAAGAAATTACAGAAATTGAAAGGGACAGTGTGAAGTGACAAAGACTGCAAGCTCTGCCTCAAAATCCAAGTTTTCCTCTTCTTCTTGAGCAAACAGCCAAATACAGTGGACCAGCCTCCTCTGCAGTAGGTGTGGCCAAATGGCTGAGTTCTGGCCAAAGGAATGGGAGTGGAAGTGATGTGCACAAATCCACGCCCAGCCTGTGAGATACTGCCAAGCATGATCTTCCTTTCCCTGGTCTTTTCTCTGGTTAGATGCCAGTGATCAGGGGAAATGATGGGAAGAACATACTGAAGATGGCAGCTCCTCGATCAGCCTGGTCCTTCAGTGACTGCACATACTGCATGGAGCAGACACCCATTCATGCACTCACCACCCCATCAGGAATAGCCACATTGGATGGTTACATAAGATAGAAATAAACTTCTATTTGTATTAAACCCTAAAATGTGGAGGTTTATTTATTAGTGGAGCTTGTATTATCCTAACAAATAAAAGCAAGATCTCAGGAAACAGCTCTCTCTGGATGGAGGACATGTTTCCCTTAGCCAGCTGCTTAATGCCAAAAAGCAAAACATCTTTCAGCCATATTGAGGAGCTGTGGAACAAACTCCTGGACAGCTCAAACCATAAAAAGGGTAGTTTTAGCTTTAAGTTTTTAATGTGTAGAATATAATGAAAATGAACAGAAAAGTTCTTTCTTCTTTTCAAAATAGCATGCGGAGAATTTATATTGCAAACATTTTAACATTGTCACTAGTCAAAAGAGAAAATCCCCTGACAATACAAAGTTCTAAAACCAAACATGGCATAGCTAATAAATTCTGAAACTTTCTGAAAAACTACAACTACTATTATCAATTTGAAAATTAATTGATATTCCTTCTCTAAAGGTCTTTTATATCTTGCATATCCTTCTTTTTTCTACCACTTTTCCATCTAAGTTTATGAATCCAAATGTCAGTGGCTAGAAATGATTTCCACTTTTCAGCAATCACACACTTAGCAATCAACCAAGCAAGATGAACAATCCGCTGTATATTTATTCAAATGTACAACTCTAAATCTGCATAAAATATAAGGAGTGGAATGTAAAGAGGTTGTCCCAGGGAGAAATTATAGAAGCATAAGCCAGAACAGATATGCTTTCAGCTTCAAGTATAAGAAAATCTGACTTTCCATGGGCTTAAGATATGGAGCGGGATATTTTTATCACTAAATAATAAATCTGATATTAAGTTATAATAATGTATTTAAGATTACAAAATAGTATATATGTATATGTGTGTATATATGTATACACAGATGCATGTAGTTATATGTATAATACTGAAACAGAAGTTCAATGAAACAAAATATACCAGATGCAATGTATTCTGATATTTCCTATTCTGTTTTATTTAGTTTCATTTTTAAAAGCTATCAGTGACAACCAAACCAATTGAAAAATGGGCAAAATATCTGAACAGACACTTCACAACAGAAGATATACAAATGGTCAATTAACACATTAAAATATATTTATCAGAGAAATGCAAATAAAATGAGATACCACTAATCCATACTAGAGTGGCTAAAATTTAAAACTGACAATTCTAAGTTTTGGAGACAATGTGGAGCAATTGGAACTCATGTACATTGCAGATGAGAAAGTAAAATTTTGGAAAACAGTTTGGCAGCTTTTTATTAAATTAAATTTACACTAACCATAAGACCCAGCCATTCATAGAATTTATCCAAGAAATATAAACATATGTTCTCATAAAGTCTTGCACATAAATGTTCATTGCAATGTTACTCATAATCCCCCCCAAAGATGGAAACGACCATCGCCTACCCTTAACAGGTGTCTAGATAAACAAATTGTGTGTACTCTAACAAAAATATACTACTCAGCAACAGAAAGGAACTATTGATTCACACACATGGATGAACCTCACAGACATTATAATGAGTGAAAGAAGATGCAAATAGTATATACTGTATGATCCCATTTATATAATTTTACATGTAAGAGAAACTATTCTTAATGACCTAAATAGATATCCATAGTGCCTGGGATCTGGAGGAGAGGACTGCCTATAAAGGGGCTCAAGGGAACTTTTTACAGTGATGGAAATATTCTCTTAGTTACATGGGTCTCCACATTTGTCAAAACTCATGAACTGTACACATTAGAATGGGTCAAGTAGTTTTGGGTCCACCAATAGGTAATGATTTACCATTTGAAAAAGCACAAATTTGTTACTCAACTATCACAGGGCTTTCTAGAATCCAAATTGTTGGTATAATAATCCCATAGGCTATCATGTTACTCATGATTAGATTAAATATGGCATGACAATTAATTATGAGACCTGGTACCCAACACTTCCAATTAGCACAGGCTTTCAAAAATCTTTCATCCTTCCTAATCTTATGACTAATAAAGTACTTTAGTAAAAATCGCTGTACTGTTTAGAGAGAACTTTCTCTTTCATTTTATGTGACCTAAGCAATAGCCAAGCAAGGCATTTATTTTTATTCCTCTTTTACAGTTGAGTAATTAAAGTTTAGAGTCATAGAACTAGTAAATACAGAGGTGGACTAAAATGCATTTGTATCTGAGTCTGTTTCCCGTTACATCACAGATAACTTTCAGAGCACAGAATCATGGGATATTGACTTTTGGTTTTAATTTCTTTGTTATTAGGACATCCAAGAAGCAGAAGACATATTAGGTACATCTTATTTGCTTTCAAAAAATAGAGTTTAGTTCTATGGCTATCATTCCAACCCACAGATCTATACTTTATGGGTTCTATAAGATCAAATGGAAGTCACCTAACAACGCAGCTTTAAAAAAAGATGTCCTTTACCTAAGCATTTCCATTTTTCTTCCTCCAAAGAGTTGAATCCTCTTTCCTCAATAGATTTGGCTAGTTAATCAAAAAGAAGAAACCATCTGAAGAGGGAAATCTATGACCTCTTCGTCAAGGAAAGTCAGATTATTCAATGCCAAGAAAGGCTATTTTTACTTTCATCTGATAGTCTGTGGGATTTTTTTAAAGGTCAACACCATGGAAGTAAAAGAAGCAACATTTAAGAGGAGCTCCCATAAATCTCCCTCCTCTTAACAGCCTCAAGGTTGACCCTGTGTTATTGGTGGCCAGTTGGCTTGGGTAGTTGGAACTTTGTTATATAACAAGGACAAGGGAGTAGCTCTATCCCTGGGGATGTCACTAAAGTAGCTTCAACATGTTTTAGAGCCACTCAACCCACCATTGACACCAGCAGCCACAATGTGAGCCCCCAAAATGTAGGTGGATCTCCCTTAATTCACACTGGTTCTGGAAGAACAAGTCAGCAGCATCCTTTGGGCAGAGAAACAAAGGTAGAGTATTTGTAGTTCACTTTAACCTTAGAGCATAACCATGAGGGCCATGTTTTAGGTAAGAAGGACAGGACATATTTAGTCAACATAATGGAATCACTCTAAGCTGTAGCAAAGGAAATCCTGAAAAACCCATTCATTAACTCTGTGACTCCAGGAGAACCAGTTTATTTCTCTGAGCATCAGTTTCTTCATCTAGAAAGATGAGAACAGTCATTCCCTACTTCAGGAGATTGTTGTGAAGTTTAAATGGGACAAATGTGGAAGAGCTGCATGAATTGTGAAAAGCTCCATAAGGATTCATGGCCTTTCTGTTCTTTATCAGGATCTGCTTTTTGTGAGAGAAAATTAGTTTTTGCTCAGTATCTTTGTTGATTAATTCAACAAAGGTTTGTTGAGTGCCTACTATGTGCCAGACAAGGGGCTGTGTGTAAGAAGTGCAGAGGAAACATAATAAGATCCTGACCCTCATGTAGGGCTGGGAAGTATAACTGGAAAGGGAGGCTAAGAGTGGCAGATGCTGTGATGTGGCACTCTGGTCTCCCTCTGGTGTGAAAGGTCTCATTCCCCCACATGCTGGAAGTGCTATTAGCCTCTTAGAGGGAATGCCTGGGCTGAAGAGAGTCACCTTGCCCAAGGCCACACCCCCTTTCTGGATATGAGGAATTCATATCCAATAACTGATTGACATGGGCATAAAAAGGCCCAGTCCTTTGCCCTCAACTGGGACAAATGTGAACTGTCATTTCTCTGCAGAATTCCTCATAGGTCTGGCTGACATTGGGACTGTATCTCAGCTCAGCTTTCCCCTCTGCCCAATACTGCTCCCTTCTCTTCCTTTCCCTTCCACAAATGTTGGCCCTGGAGAACTCCTTAATAAACTTCCTACACACTGGTATCTATCTCAGAGCCTACTTCTATGACACTTAATTTTATGTGTCAATTTGGCTAGGTTATGGTACCCAGTTTTGGGTCAAGCACCAGTCTAAATGTTGCTGTGAAGGTATTTTTAAAATGTGATTAACATTTAAATTGGTAGAATTTGAATAAAGCAGATTATCCTCCATAATATGAGGGGTTCATCCAACCAGTTGAAGGCTTTACAAAAAAAGACTGAGGTTTCCCAAGGAAGAAAGAATTCTACCTCTAGATTGCCTTCAGCTTCAAGACTGAAAAATCAAAACTTCCCTGGGTCTCCAGCCTGTTGGCCTGCCCTGTAGATTTTGGACTTGCAAGCCCCGGCACCCATAATCACATAAGCCCATTCCTTGGGGAAAAAAATCTACCACCGCCCCCCAACCCCTGCTCTCTGTCTGTCTGTCTGTCTGTCTGTCTCTCTCTCTCTCTCTCTCTCTCTCTGTGTGTGTGTGTGTGTGTGTGTGTGTGTGTGTGTGTGTCCTATTTGTTGTTTAACTGGAGAATCTTGACTAATGCAACTTTAATGCAACTTCCAAACAACTCAACGGTGACATCTGACATTTATGATACAGTGATAAATGATCTGAGTTAGCACCAGGGCTGGTGTCAGAGGTATGCCACCTGTGCAGTCAAAAAGGGCCCCACACTCAGAAGGACCCTGGTTATATGCTCTGCAGTTATTGTCTTGAAAATCTTAGTAATTTTATCTTCAAACTTGCATTTTATAAAAGAGCATGTGTTTGATCAGAGGAGATACATGTGACATGCATGTTCACTGTTTCTTGCCAAACAATTTGCAGTTAGCATTTGCAATGCCCTGTAACCAAATAATTCCAGTGGACCCACAGTGCACGAGAGCTCAATGAGGCTCAAAGTGACCAAATAGTTCCACTAGACCCACAGTGCATGAGAGCTCAATGAGGCTCAAAGTGACCAAATAATTCCATTGGACCACAGTGCGTGAGAGCTCAATGAGACTCAAAGTGAGTACAAGAAAAGAGAGTTACTTCTACATGTGCTTTAGAGGGGAGAGGGACAGCTGACAGCCCAAGAGGCCACACTTAAGGCTCAAACCAGAACTTGTTTCAAACACAGAAGGAATGCAATGATATTCTAGCAAACATGTATGACCAAGAAACACTATTATATTCTTTTTTAAAAGTTTGTATCACTTCCCCATATTAGCCAACCACTTATGCTAAAAATGATGACACAGAAAGAAAGGAAAATAGAGGGCAACTCATAGTTCCTTTTTGTTTCATTCCTTCCTTATTCATCAGTAAGCTGAAGGTAGAAAGTACTGGTGGAAATAGCAAAGACTTGGAACCAACCCAAATGCCCATCAGTGATAGACTGGATAAAGAAAATGTGGCACATATACACCATGGAATACTATACAGCCATAAAAAATGGATGAGTTCATGTCCTTTGCAGGGACATGGATGAAGCTAGAAACCATCATTCTCATCAAACTAACACAGGAACAGAAAACCAAACACCGCATGTTCTCACTCATAAGTGGGATTTGAACAATAAGAACACATGGACACAGGGAGGGGAACATCACACACCAGAGCCTGTTGGGGGCAGTGGCTAGGAGAGAGATAGCATTAGGAGAAATATCTAATGTAAATGACGGGCTGATGGGTGCAGCAAACTACCATAGCACGTGTATACTTATGTAACAAACCTGCACGTTCTGCACATGTATCCCAGAACTTAAAGTATAACAAAAAAAAAAGTTCAAAAAAAGTATTGGTGAAATATTTATCAAGAAATGAAATTTAGAAATGTTAAGTTAGTTTTGTGTATATTTTTCACTGGGAAGAACAAAATATTGCATGTACAAGCTATGAAACAAGAATTCTATAATTTCACTGATTCTACATGTGAGATCAATGCTCTTAATTAAACTGTCATTTCACAATATAGAGGTGAATGGTAAAATTTATGCTAACCATTCAAAATTATATTTTTTCTTTACTTGGGATGACATTAAATAGAAAATAAATAGCAAATAGCAAATAAATACACAAGTCAAGAGAGAGATCATGGAAGAAAAGATAAAGCTTTGTATTGTAGTATCTTTAATAGACTTTTTTCCTACTTTTTGAACAAGGGTCTGCTATTTTATTTCACACTAGCTCCTGAA
The DNA here is from genome assembly GCF_000001405.40 of Homo sapiens. NCBI lineage: Eukaryota > Metazoa > Chordata > Mammalia > Primates > Hominidae > Homo > Homo sapiens. Next base: position 132,152,318 of record NC_000003.12, read on the forward strand.
AGTTATGTAACCATACCTGGTTAGCAACGTGTCTTATGGGTACATAGAGTTGGGTTTGATGAATGCTTCTCAAAAGCTAAGTCCCAAGAGACTGTTCAGACTAGCTGAGGAAAGTATAGTTGAGAGAAGTAACGAAGAGATTCCAGGTAGAAGGAACAGGACCTATTAAGTCTTCTGGCTTAGAGAGAGCATGTTTCCTACAGAACACAAGATACCATTTGGCTTAGTTGGATCTTACATCAGGGCATTTGGAGTCAGGGGATGTGAAAGGAGATGAGTCTGAACAGTGTTGTCCTGTGAGTCCTGCACTATCTAATCTTCTGGCCACTGACTTTCCTTTCACTCAAATGTTATAATCCAAGTTATTCTTTAAAGTAAAGATCAAATGTAATCTCCTCCTTGAAACTTCCAGGATCATTTTTTAAAGTGTAAAGACAATTCACAGGAGAAAGAATAGTCTTGCCAACAAATGGTACTGGAATTATTGGATATGCTAGGAAAATAAATTTTAATCCATACTTTTTACTATACATAAGAATTAATTAAAATGAATCCTGAACCTAAATGGAAAATATAACATGATACAAATTATAAAATAAGACAGAGCAGAAAATCTTCATGATTTTGAATTAGGCAAAGATATCTTAGATATGATACTAAAAGTATGATTCATAAAAGAAAAAAGGTGATAAATTAAACGTTATTAAAATTAAAATGCTTCCTCTTCAAAGGACACAATTAAGAGAATAAAATACAAGCCATAGACTGGTAGACATATTTGCAAAGTATGTATCTGATAAAGAACTTGAACCCAAATATATAACAATTAAAAGTAAATAGTAAAAAAAAATTAATGGGCAAAAGATTTGAACAGACAATTCATCAAAGAAGATACATGGATGTCAAATAAGCACATAGAAAGATGTCCAGCATAATTCATCATTATAAAACCGAAAATAAGTATCACAATGAAATAACAGCATGTATGTATTAGAATGGCTAAAATTTTAAAAGCTGATGATACCAAATGTTGGTGAGGATATCGAGGAACTCATTCATTGCTAATGGGACTGTAAAATGGTATCATCACTTTCAGATTTTGTTTTGTTTTGAGATGGAGTCACTATGTTGTCCAGGCTGGAGTGCGGTGGCACAATCTCGGCTCACTGCAACCTCCACCTCCTGGGTTCAAGTGATTCTCCTGTCTCAGCCTCCCAAGTAGCTGGGATTACAGGCGCCTGCCACCACGCCGGGCTGATTTTTGTATTTTTAGTAGAGACGGGGTTTCACCATGTTGGCCAGGCTGGTCTCGAACTGCTGACTTCAGGTGATCCACCCAAGTTGGCCTCCCAAAATGCTGGAATTACAGGCATAAACCACTGCGCCCGGCCAGTATCATCACTTTGGAAGACAGTTCGGCAGTTTCTTAAAAAGTTAAATGTACACTTAATATATGATTCAGTTATTCCACTCCAGTATTTACACAAGAGAAAAGAAAGCATACATCCCCACAAAGACTTGTGCTGAAATATTCATAGCAACTTTATTTTTAATAGCCAAAAGCTGGAAACAATGCAAATGTTCACCAGTAGATAAATGTACAAACACACTTTGCCATATTCATACAATGGAATACTACTCATCAATAAAAAAGAAATGAGCCAGACACATGAAACAACATGGATGAATCTCAAAATAATTACGCTTGGTGAAATAAATCAGACGTTAAAAAGAGTACACACTGTATGATTCCATTTATATAAACCTCTTTAAAATGTAAGCTAATTTACAGTGACAGAAAGCAGATAGCAGTTGCCTGCAGACAGGGAGAAGGGGGATATAGAAGAGGAGAGACCATGGGGAGTTGCCAGAGAAAGAGATTACAAAGGGGTATGAAAAAACGTGAGGGGGAGGGTAACAAATATGTTCATTATCTTGACTGTTGATGGTTTCACGATTGTGTGTGTGTCAAAACTTTTCTAATTGTACACTTTAAATATGTGCAAGTTATTGTATATTGATTATACATCAATAAAGCTTTTTTAAAAATCATCATCTGGAGATCCATTACACTATTTTGTCCATTTTTATATGTGTTTAAAATATTCCAGAATAAAAGGTTGAAAAGAAACATTTTTGTCTTTTTGGTGCAATATAATCAGAATCATGGAAGTAGAAGTGGCCTCAAAATGACATTATATCAATTCCTTTCCCTCACTGGGAAGGTCCACAAGTGATTTCAATGTTTGTGCATGTTATAACCTAGGCTATGTTGCTAGAGTTTTCAGAAGCATGCTGGGCTTGCACAAATTTAATTTGACCCCTAAAATGAAATTCTTCTATTCTCCCCCACTCTCACTGCTCGTTGCATCAGGGCAATAACCAAATCTGTTCATCGCTGCTGGCAGTTAACATCTCGCTGTAGATTCTAACTCCCATGAGAACAAACAGAGTGCAGAGAAAAGCAATGTAAATGTAAAACACATATTTGATTGCTCAATCAGCTGCTTTCTCCCTGGTAGCTGTGGCTGATTTGAAGTCAGGCAGGGGCTGAAATGACAATCAGACCTGATTTTCATCTGAGCTCCACTGTTAACTAGTAGACAACCTTGGGCAAGTCACTTCCCCTCTCTACAAGAGACTCGGTTCCTTTCTCGCAATAAAAGGGGCTTGGTCTTTAAACTGTAAGGTTTCTTAAAGGACCAAATATTTACAACTTGTCTTCTTCTGTTTTCTATATCCTCAAAGAATAATAAATTGCAGGCTGAGACTCATCAAGGATTTTACAATGTGGGCACCAGGCTGTGACTGGTAAGGATTGGGAGGAGAATTTTTCTGAGTTGGATGAGTTTTATCTGGGTTATAATGTCAAGTTCACTGTATGTGAGGTTGGAATATGCATCTTGGTCAGGGATGATTTGTTGAAAAGGATAGAATTCCATTTGTACTTCTCAAGTAAATGGGAAATTTTCTGGAAACTGCAGGGATGTCTTAGAACTAAAGTGGATGAAGCACAGCAGGTATCATAAGAGGCTGAAACCAGAGACCACAAAATCATGAGCAATGTCACTCACTTCAGCTTCCTCACTTTTGTGCTCTTGCATTTTCTCTCATCCATGTGATTGCTTGCTCTCTTTCTCTCTCTCTCTCTCTCTCACACACACACACACATACACACACACACACAACCACTAACTCTGTCTTCACAAAGTCCTTACTCCTGTCTTTCTGCAAAGCAGCCTTCTAGCATCAGTAGCATATGGTAGGAAACGGCTCCACACATCTCCCTCTGCAACAGTGAGCCACACCTAGTTAGCCTCTCATTGGCAATTCCAGATTCCCTAGTACAAATTGATGCACTGGTAGGGGGTGGGGAGGTGGGTCAAGAGGCACATAGATCTGCTCTCACCAGGGCCAGAGGCTTTTAGAAGTACAGCATGACATGATTGGTATAAAGACCTCCTTGGGTGGGGTTTGGGAATCTAGCTTAATGCCCAAGGAGCAAGTTTCTTTCCATAGTAAGAGCAGTGATCTTAATATCTTAAACCCCTAAAACCTTATAATTGAGGAGCTTAGGTTCAGCTAGTTGTGGCAGAGCTGGATCTGGAATTCTGGCTACTCAATCTCCAGCCCAGCATTCTCTTTTAGAATGAGTTGTCAGAGGTTTCTTCTCATGTCCAGGATGATGCCAATGTGGTAATAGTCTAGTGCCAGGAAGGTTGCTGGTTATGATGACACCAGACATTGAATCATTAAAAAAGGAATAGGCCTTTGTGATAGGCTGTGTTTAGGCTGCGTTTTCCAAAGACGGCCACACCATCCTTCATCCCATGTGTAACCCACATATTTCTCCAATGAGTGGTGGGGTCTACGTCCCTTCCACTTAAAGCTTGGCAGAATTCTGTGGCTTCCTCAATCAATAGAGCAGAAGTGATGCTATGTGAATTTTGAGCCTAGATTAGCAAATTCCCTTCATATTCACCATGTTCTGTTGGTACACTTGCTCTTAGAACCTAGCCCAAACTAGGCCCAATGGAGAGGCCATATGTAGGTGTTTAAGCTCAGAGCTCAGCTGAGGTGTCAGCCAACAGCCAGGATCAACTGTTAAATATATGAGAGGAAAAAGCCTCCAGATGATTCTAGTCCCCAAGCCATTGAGAAACCCCCAGAGTTTGAATGTGAGGCCCCAGAAATCAAGGAGCCATCTCTGCTATTTCTTGTCTGGATTCCTGACCCACATAATCTGTGAATATAATGAGGTAGTTATATATGTATACATGTGCCATGTTGGTGTGCTGAACCCAGTAACTCATCATTTAACATTAGGTATATCACCAAATGCTACCCCTCCCCCCTCCCCCCACCCCACAGGCACATTGTGCACATGTACCCTAAAACTTAAAGTATAATAAAAAAAAAAGATTTCAAAAATAAAAAAATATGTAACAACACATAAAAATTCTGATTAAAGGAAAGAACAAGTTTTACTCTGCACACTGCAGAGCTAATAAGTAAAAATATATACTCTCATAAGTAAAAACTGTCATATTCTATGTTTATAATGTGTGGAGAATTAAGAGTAAAAGTTGACGTAATTAATTTAAAAAAATGAGGTAGTTATATTGTGCCAGTGAGTTTTGGGGCTAGTTTGTTATACAACAATAATAACTAGAACCACACTGGTAAATCATTTTAAATCATCTATCACCAAAACCTTTAGGTCTTAGAGACTATTTTTCTTGGGTATCTTTATCCTATCCATCATTTTAAGAAGAAAGCCTCCCATTGTATTACTACTGGTTGTTTGATTAAAACAGCAATAATAGCAACATATGCATTAAACTCAAAGTCCTGTATTTGTGAACACTTGTTTCATTACCCATTGCTGTAGCGAATTTATAGTCAGTGTCTGTCATTTTATAATAAGGCAGAATACCCTCATGGCATATAGAAGCATCCTAAAGATTGTCTATTCCCTATATTTTATTCCATTCTTAGAATATTTTCTTTTCAGTTAATGCTGACTTTTCCCCTAGGTGTGGCAAAGCTGAGAGATTCCAGGTGTTTCCTTCTCTCAGTACTTGAGAGAAGCATCAATTCTGATTTTAGCAATTTCTGGAGGATGTTAGTGTCCAATCCCATTGGGCTGAGAAAGCTGGACTCCAGCAGCTTTCCTCCTCACTCAATGCCCAACCCCCACAGTGATAGGCATGGAACTTCCGGCTTTGGCATTCATTGGCATTCACTGGCATTTTCCTGTGGTCCTCAGCCATGCCTTCTTTTCATCTGTTTGCTCCCTGATATGGTCTGAATGTGCCTCCCAACATTCATGTGTTGGAAATTTAATCCCCAATGCAGTGTTGGGAGGTGGGGCCTTTGGGAAAGTATTTAGGTCATAAGGGTTCCACCTTCATAAATTAATTAATGCCACTATTAAAGGATTCTGGGAGTGAATTTGCTTTCACTTGCCCTTCTGCCTTCCCCATATGCAGCAAGAAGGCCCACACCAGATGCCAGAGATTGATCTTGAACTTCCCAGGCTCCAGAATGGTGAGAAATAAATTTCTCATCTTTATAAATTACCTAGTCTATGGTATTCTGTTATAGCAGCACTAATAGACTGAGACACTCTACATCACTTCAGTCATGTTCTAATAATTACACATCGACAGAGCCCTAGTGTGTTTGCAGAATAATGCATGATCATATCTCCAACATGAATATTTGTCATGTGTTGGGCGCTGTGCTGAGTAGTTGGGATACAAAGATAAAGGAGATGTAGGGCAGGTCTGTAAGAGGCTCACAGTCATCACAGAGCTTGCATCTCCTCCTCCATCAGCTGCCTGCAGGGTCTGCTGCTGTCCCTATTCGGTTTCCCACCCTCCAATCACTGATTTTCAAGGATAAACAAAAGCAAAGCTTCCACTAACTGTGAGACTTGGGAGCATTTCTTAATATTACTGAGTCTCCATTTCTTCTTGTGTAAAATGGGAAGGATACTGCCTGGTACATAGGTTGTGGGAAAAATAAAATACAACGTAAGATTCAGAGTTCAAAACTTAGCATATAAGAGGAATTCAGCAAATGCTACTATTCTTTCTTGCTCTGACTCCATGCTACTATCCCAAATTACTCTGTTTTATACTTTAAAACCGCTTTTATGCCCCATTCCTCTGGCTGCCTGCCCATTCAATTATTCTGGGGGAATTTCTGTGAAAAAGAAAAGTGGCAGGGTAAATCATAAAGACTATAAATTTCAAGTTCAATATGTGCCATCCTGATAGTATTTTAAGAGTCATCCAACCTCACCCCCTCATTTTACAGAGGTAACTTCATCTCCTGGGTTTTTTTTTTCCTTTCATTTATTTATCTAAACCATCCTCCTCATACACACTGTAAACCCAGCCTCTGTGTCTCCATTTTGGTCAGATGGAAAATCCCTCCTTGAATTCTCTCCAAATTCTAAGTCCTTTTCCAAAGGAGTGGTTTATTAACTGGAACATACAGGTACATGGTGTGTGAAGGGAGGATGGCAGAAGGTGCCACAATTATAAATATGGGAAGGAAAGAGGTGTAGTGTGAAAAACTTAATATTTTAATAAAAGACCATATTTTAAAGTTTAAGGTCATCTCTCAAAAAAAAAAACCTGTGATCATTCATTTTCAAAAATGGCCACAATTCTTCATGTATCCACATGTTTTGCAATATAACTTTGCAGCTTCTCCCACCAAGAGGTGATGTTTATTTTCTCACTCCTTGGATTTTAATTGGTTTTGATGTTCTTCTGGTTTCAAGTCTAGGTCTCAAGGGATTTGCACACTTCTCATTCTCTTAGAAACTGTCACTGCCATATGAACAAACCTGGTCTTACCTACTGAAGGACAAGAGACCACATAGAGCAGAGCTCAGTTGTTTTAAATGAAGCCGCCCTAGATTGGCCCACAACTAGCTAATACCCAAATATGTGATCAAACCCAGCCATGATCACCTAAGTGGCCACCCAACCCACAGCTGAGCATAGCTGCATAAGCGAGTCCAGCTGAGACCAGAAGAAACACCCAGCCAACTCATAGACATGTGAGCAAAAATTCATGCTTATTGCTTGCAGCCACTATCTTTGAGTGGTTTTGCTACAATAGCTAACTGATACAAAGCTTATAGAAAAATAAAACTGAAAAAAATCTTCTTAGTGGTGGTTCTCAAAGCAGCAGGTGAGTTACAAATGTCCAAATTTCTGGGGTTTAGGAAGAATGAGGTTTTGATATTCTTCATTTTCTTTCAAAAGGAATATCAACTTTAAAAGGCTGAGAAACACTTCTTTTGAGTTATAAAGCCTCGCACAGCCTGAACGCTGTGCAAAAAGCCTGATTAAAATTGAGTGTATTCACCTTTAAACTGACATCTGACATTGGAAATAGTTAGAAAATGAAGCTAGGACTAGGGGAAGAAACAGAAAGATTAGGGTAAGCATTTATTTGCATTGCCTTTTCACCCTTCCCCTGCTTCTGGGAATGCTGCTTTGGATCATGTAGTTTAAATAGGAGTTGCCAGTTTTCTACCTTGCCTCCTTGGCAGTAATGATTGATCTAGAAATTGGCATACAACCCTGGCAGACTCACAGAATCGTTTCTTGAGATTTTAAACACTAGAACCAAGCAGAAAGGTAAGGCAATTTTTCTCCTCTGTTGGCAGAAGCAGAGAGAAGTAAGTGTAGTGCAGTTATTACTTCTGGCACTCTCAAAGAAGCCCATCACACGAAGAGAAGCAGAGACAAGAGGCAGCAGCCATCTTGGGGGCATCTGAGTTTCTGGTTTCAAATCATTTCTGGCCTTCCCATGGTTTAATGACATGAGCAATAAATTTGCCTTTTCTCCTAAGCAAGTTCAACTTGCTCTCAAACACTTGCAACCAAGGAGAGTCTGTAGATGAAATCAATAACAGAGAACATCTTGCAAAGCTTGCTTTCTCAGTGCAGCTTTGAGGAAAAAAAATGAACTGGAGAAAGATAAGTTACATGTGGCAGACATGGAGAAGCACTAGTCAGATCTTTCAAGAAAGCACTCGCTGCCCAGGTGGAAAGAATGTAGTTGTCTAACAGCCTCCAGCTGTGAGCAACCTCATGGTCTGCCTCCACTTTCAGAGGCACACTATTTTAAGGGCAGCCACCAACCAATGACTAAGCAAGGCACCTCATAAAAGAACTAGGCATTTCCACCCAATGCAGGATGCCTATAGTGGGCAATTTTCCCTCCAAATTCTCCCATTTGGCTGGCAGATGCTTTGCCAGTTTGGCAACACACTCTAGACTCTCCTCCATACACAATCCCATTCGTTCCTTTTTTTTTTTTCAAAGATGTTATTCCTCAATAAAGCTTTTTTATTTCTCAGTGTCCATTTTGGGAAGCCCTAAATTTAGTGTTTAATGGCCTTTCCCCAGCAAATTTAAAATAATTCAACCAAAACCATAAACATTTTCATAGCCATCTTGTCTAGAATAGGCGGAAAGAAAGGATCCTGTCTAGGAGCCATGAGCAGGTAGACATGACAAATATCTCCCTCTTTCCCCTTTAGCCCACATATCTTCCCATCATTACATGGGCCACATGGCAATGGTGTAGGCAAATCAAAACCACAGATTAGGAAAGCTGTCCTGGTCCATCTGATATACCTGTGGTGTCTGTGGACTTGCCTCCAACTATCTGCCCTCCTCTCCTACCATAGCCCCTTCATTTGCCTCACCTCCTGCATCATCTGTGGAGCAGGATATTAATTAGTGAAACATCAGTTTGAATGCTGCAGACCTTGTACACTTCTCAGCCTCTTTTTTTTTTTTTTTTTTTTTGCATGCTTTCCATTATATCTAACCTTGAAGCTTCCAAAGATGTGATAGGTAGCTGGAAATGATTCTGAGCCCGATTCTTCATTTTGTTTTCTACGGGTATACTTGAAAAAAATTAGAATGGGAAGAAATTCCAGCTTGTTCACACCTTGACTTAGGTAGTTACTGGCAGGATGACTTACCTTCAGTCCAATAGAATTCCTAGCAGAGCTTAATATTTCTCCAACCTGATTAGCATAGAGCACATTAACCTAATATGCAAGAATCAAATATTTTAAGCTCCACTTGTTTATTCGAAGTTTCACAGATACCATTTCTTTAACTTTACTCAAATTCAAAGATATAATTGCTGTTTTTTTTAATATACAATCACTGTGTAAATAGTCTCCAAAGATGAACACCAACCATTTCTGAGTCTTTTTGCCCTCCCCTCCAACCTGGGATGGCCCTGGGAGTGCTTTGACCCAATACCATATGGGGAAAATGATATCTGGGATTACTTCAGAGGTCAGGCCTTAAGAGTACTGGCAGCTCCTGCTTCCTCTCCAGGAACCCAGCTGCTCTTCTGTCAAGCCACATGGAGGAGACAGCAGCACCATTGGCAGCCATGTGAACAAGCCAGCTCAGTGATTCCAGCCCAATTGAGTCCCCCAGATAGCTGCAACCCCTGCCAATACCACAAGGAGCAGAACTTCCCAGCTGAGTCTAATAACGCTATGAACTCAAGAGAGATAATATAATGGTTGTTTGAGGATGGTTTGTTACATGGCAATAGATAAGCAATAATTTTCAGATATTCCTACTCAAGAAGTAATATAAAGGTATGGAAAATGGACTCTCTTACACACTGCTGGAGGAAGTATAAGTTCATACAATTAATTTGAAGGGCAATTTGGCAGTATTTTCTAGCATTTGAAATCTAAATGTCCTATAACTCAGCAATTCCACTTTTCAGTATCTATTCCAAAAAATCACCCACACATGTGCCAAGGAGCAGGTACAAATATACTTATTTCAGTCTATTTGAGAAAGATAGAGAGGCAGAGAATATTTACCAATGTAGAAATGGCTTATATGTCTAACATGGAATATTTTGTATCTGCTGAAAGAATTAGGTAGATCTACATGAACCAAATAACACATATCTCCAGTACATTATTGAACAAAAATAATACATTACAATACTATATATAGTAAAAAAGCATTTGTGGCAAAAATACGCATGGCAATACCATATATTTGCAATTGCCTATGTATCTAAGTGCATAGAAAGTCTGATGGAATTAATTATATATTTAGGATAGGATAGTCTATGCTGTGATAATAAGCAACTCTAAGGTTTCAACAGCTTAACATGATACAAGGTTTTGCTTTTTTATCCTCACAAAACTTGTGATATGGGTTGGGTGACTTACTGTACTCTCATTTTTGAGACATTTACATAATTTCCATTATTTGTCACCATTAGACAATACTGTACTGCACATACACATGAGAAGCTAAACATCTCTTTACACATGTATCACTTTAAAGTTTTCAAACACTTTTCACATTTATTTCAGTTTACGCTACATGAAAATCCCATGTGCTAAACAAGCCAGTATATGACAGGATTACTCAACAACTGAAATAAGATATCTCCAATGTGGTTCTCCTCCAAATGGTTACTTAGAGGTCTGGGTTGCTACCATCATGCATGTATTTACACAATCTGGTATGTGTGGCCTTCAGGGTCTCTGCACCAGACGGAGGGAGGGATGGAAGGGGGACATTGGCTCTTAAATGCCACAGCCTAGAACTAGCAACATGTCATTGTTGCTCACAGTCCCTTGACTAGTACAAGTCATATGGCCCAAAACTTACTACAGTCTCATTTTTGAGACATTTACATAATTTCTACTATTTGTCACCATTACAGACAATACTGTAGTGCATGTACACACAAGAAGCTAAACATCTCTTTACACATGTGTATCACTTTGAAGTTTTCAAACACTTTTCACATTTATTATTTCAGCTTAAGCTACATAAAAATCCCATGTGCTAAACAAGCTAGGTATGATTCTCCTTCATTTTACACAGAGTGAAATTGAGGCCCAAAGAATCTTGACTAAGGTTTCATGGCTACAAAAGAGCAGAGACTTAAAATGAACTCTGTGATGCCCTGAGTCCAGTTCTCTTTTCCTTAGGGATATGCCAACAGATTTCTGCCTTATATGATATCATTTAAGATGCCCTCAGTATGTGTGAATTAAAGGAACTTAGCCAGAGAATAGATAAGGATTTTAAGGACAAGAAAGAAATTGCTGTTCCAGGAATCTGGGTCAGAGTGATTCTGAAAAATGTTTGTTTTCATGTCTGTCTCCCTAACTAGAGTATGATTTTCTAAACGAGATTAGGCCACATTTGCCTCTATAATCCCATTGTCTGGCACAGGGCCTGACCCATGTTGAGCACTAGATAAATATTCATTGAAAGGATGGATGGACGGATGGATGGATGGATGGATGGATGGATGGATGGATGGATGGATGGATGGATAGATGGGTATGCTTTCTATATTCTCTATCATAAAGTCATAGCATTTAAGACCATGAATAAATCTAGAACCATGCTACTCAAATGTGGTCCTTGAAGCAGAAGTATCAACATCACTGGGAACTTGTTAGAAATGAAGAATCTCAGACCCCACTCCAGACCTACTAAATCAGAATCTTCATTTTAACAAAATCTGAAGATGAATCATAAGCATTTTAAAGTTTGAGTAAACTCACATGCACCGGTCTTGAATTAACTCCTCTTATTGTATATATAGGAAAGTTCTGTAGGTCACTGACAATCTCCAAGATGCCTCAAGCATTGGATGGAAGTCAAGCTGGAAGCAGTTTCACCCCTCTGCCCTCATTAATCTCATGCTTCCTTACATCATAGCCTGTTTTCAACATAGAAGAAATGTACAATAAGTGGAGTTTGCTTAAGTTCAATACATTCAGTGTCTGTGCAGGGCGGGTCAGGGAGGTAGTCTTTAATGATAAAATTAACACATCATACTTGTAACACAGGAGAGTTAGTGGCATACAGGAAGTAGCACCTCAGTGTTACAGGTGAATCTTCCTTTTCTCACCTGTGATAGAATTCCTTTTGATCCTCTGAGACATCCTTACCAAGGATGGTCATGGTTCTCATCTTTACCACCATTGCGTTCAGGGCAGAGCATGCTAAGAATAATTCAGGAGTATACAGGAGGAAAAAAAACACTAATACTGACTCAGACATTTTCACAAAGATGACCTCCATTAATCCTTATACTACCCAATAAAGCAGGTATTACATGCATTTCACAGAAAGAGGAAACTAAGCTCAAACAAGGTGAGCAACTTGTCTTAGTCAGTCTGTAAATGCAGAGTCTTCTGTCACAAAGTCTAAGATGATCTGATATCAATCCTCCTAGACTGACTCAGGTGAAGAATATTCAGTGTAAATAATAATATCCATTTCCCCAGTTTAGGATGATGCAATGAGGGCAGAGGTCCACTGGATCCCTTTGAAAAAGCTGGCAGAACTGCTCAATTATTAGTCTCCTGGCCACACTCCAGCCACACTCAGGCACAGGGCCCTGAAAGATTGCTCTAAACTCTTCCAACTGCAGATAGCTCTTCCTCTGCTGTAGAGATATGGCTGCTCTCCATAACATCAACTCAGATGATTATACATAACAAGCATCACGACTTGCCCAGCATTATCAGCACAGGTGGGCAAGTTGCCAGGAAGCCAGGAGCCTCTAAACTGCATCTAGATCTGGAAAAATTTTGCAAACTTTGGATCCCCCAAATTTCTGTTCCTTGATACACAAAGCTGGAAGATGATTTCAAGTGAGAACACATGGAAATCAAGGAACTTTATGCCTCCAAGTAGAAGTGTCTCATGACTTGATAAGAAACATGATTTGAAAATCAACCACTGTTCAAATCAGAGGCTAAAAGTAATAGATTTTTCAACATTTTCTAAAATCAGGGAACTGAGGACCAAAGAGGTAAAAGGTCCCAACCAAGGCTATGTGGCTGGCAGACGGCAGGAAAGAATTGGAACCTTGGTCCAGTTCATACTTTTCCCATTTTGTGAGATGATCTTTACCATGTTTATACCCACTTAGTAGCCCTCTCCTCTTTTCTTTTAATGTTATTGCCCTAAGTGATCTCTTCTAGTATCATGGCTGTGAAAATACTTACATGCTACAAACTTCAAATTCATATTTCTGATTCTGATACCACTCTGATCATCCAAAGTATGTACAGCTAACTTGACCTCTTCACTTGGACGTCTAACAGGCATCTCAAACTTAATTTGCCCAAAACAGAACTCCATCCACCTCCCCTAACCAAAGTTGTTCTACCCTAAGTGTTCTTTACTTAAATACACCGCCCTCCGCTTGGTTGCTCAATTCAAAAATTTAAGAGTCATGTTTAATCCTCTTTTTCCTTCACTCCTCACATCCAATCTATTAGCATGCCTCATTGGCCATAACTCTGAAAGGTGTACCCAGTCAACCCACTTCCATCATCACCACTGCTCTCATCCCCTCTCACTTGGAGTTATCCTAATCAGCTTCCTTGCTTCCCCTCCTGCTCACCTCCCACCCACTTCCTAACACTTAGAATGGTCTTTGAAAGCATGCATCATCAGGTCATGTCACTACCCACTTCAAGCCCTCCAAAGGCTTCTTGGTGTGCTTAGAATCAATCCAAATGCTGAATCGTGGCCTATAAGGCCCCATTGATTCAGCTCCTGACTACCTGGTTGACATCACTGCCTATCACTCTACCTCTCACTGTCTCCACTTCAAACAAATAGATCTCTTTTCTGCACCTTGAACATGCCAACCTAATTCCAGACCATGGTCTTTGCTCTTGCTATTCTCTTAGCTCCAATGACCTTTCTCCAGATCTCCTTATGTACATTCCCTCCACTCAGATATACCTTTGCACATGTAACTCCCTCAGGAAGGCCTCTCTGGCCATACAATTTTAAGTTCTCCTCCATCTCCTACTCATTCTGTAGCACATCACTCTGTTTTGTTTACTTTATAGCACTTAGTATATTTATTCACTTGTTTATTGTCTCTGTCTCCAGCACCATATCTTCTCCCCAAAATGCTGGCTCATTTAGGTCATGGATGTCTCTCCATTATTGAGAAAAGAGGTTCACAAACTCTTTCTATAAAGGGCTTTGCAGATCATATAGCCTCTGTTGCAACTACTCACCTCTGCCATTGTAGCATGAAAGCAGCCAAATGATATGTAAGCACATGAGCATGGCTGTGTTCCAATAAAACTTGGATGAGCTAGATTTGGCCTATGGGCCATCATTTTCCAACCTCTTATCTACAAAAGTATTTGTCATGTAAAAGATTCTCGGTAAGTATGTATCAAATGCATAAATGAATGAAAGATCTAAAAATCTCTGGGAGAAAACACCAAATACTCAGTAGGATGGTTCTTGTGTACATCTGGCAATAGCTTATTATTAACAGAGCCTCATTGTCTCTTATGTACTTACCACTATAACTTAATATTTCTATTCCTCTGAGACTTACCAAAAAACTGAGAATATGTTTTGTAATAAGATCAGATTGTTCAGTTGGACCCAAAGGTCTTGGGAGATATTTATGAACCCTACTGAAGGACTCTTTCTCTGTTTAGACCAGACAAGGCCTGAATATAGAAAGAATAGTGTGTCCCATCAGTCAGCTGATGATAATAATGACCCATGGCTTCTAAAAGATTTTTAGGGAATTACCCACTACCAATGTTTTCATCTGATTCTGCTACCCCCTTGAACTGTATTCTTAACCCTTTTCCACATGAATTTTCCCCCATATAAATTTTATAAAGGATAAAAATTATTATTAAACACTATAATTTATCATGGGACTGCACCTGCCCAAGACAGGATTACTCAACAACTGAAAAAGATACAAACACAACTGGAGACTTGAATTTAAGGTAAAGCATTTTCTAGTTTGAAAATGGGATTTCCAAAGTCCTGGATAGGGAGAGGCTAAGATTTGCCCCTGGGAGGGTACTACCCATCTTCGCCCTTTTAAGAACAACAAAGTGTACAGGCTCTTAAGATCACCCTCACTCATAGTCCAGGATAACAAAGAGATGAGTTACTGCTTCCCAAAGAATGATTTCAGTCTCTACAACTCCACTGAAAGAAGAATTCAGAATTCATTATCTGTAGAAACAATGCTGTACTTGGTGCCTAGATTTTATTAAAATAGTGTTGAGATGCTGAACTTTAGGCACATCAAAGGTTAAGAAGACATTTCTGGGCATTTCACCATCACTCCCAAGAAAACTCATTTCAAGTAGAAGGAGACTTTGAGTAACAAGCAAATGACCTCCAAATAAAAACCCTTAGGGCACAATGTGTTCAGAGAGGGGAGGAGGACACATTCAGATCCTCTAAGTGAGAAAGAAAGCAGAATAGGAATAAAGTGAGAAAAATCATTCCCTAATCATTTGGTGGCTGGTTTTGTTTTTTTGTTTTTGTTTTTGATTTTGTTTTTGTTTTTTTCTGTCCCCTCTGAGCCATGGAAGATACTGGAGTTAACAAAAATTTTATAAACTAAAGAAAGCAACTTTATAATCTAAAAGAAAGCAACTTTCCCTCCTGTCTTTTGAATTCTTATTCCTGAAAGAATGGATAATGAATCAGGAGATGAGCAAAAACGTATCTTTTACAAAGCTCTAGTCTTCCAAAAGTCTCTAAACTCAAACGAAACCTTTTTAAAGTAGTTTTGTAAAAGCTCAAGGTATGCCATTTCCAGAAAGTTGCAGATGAGCACCATTGGCATTACCCAAATTCTGTCACACATTGAGCAATGAAATTCAGGAATTGGACAATGACCTCTTGGCATATGAAAGAATTAAAAGAGGGCTAGGGCTTAGGGCAGGGATCTAATCGGGGAGGATGTGCTGTCCAAGCCTCCCTCCCTCCTCCTTTCCTCGCCTTCAGGTAGATGGAAAGAAAGGTTCAGTCATCTGAGAGAATATCCGATTGTCCTTGAAATTTTTTTCCCTATTGACAAAGCAAGGCATGAATGAATATTCAGTCTGATTAGATCTTCCACTTGACAATGACTGTCATTACCTGGCTAACAAAATAATATACATCTGTGTATGTGAAACCACAATGGCTGATGTTTCAAATTCTTAATACATTATAATCTGGTTGGATTGAGTGGCTAACAATGCCACAATCCCATGAGGTAAACAAAACATTCATCTCTGGATTTCCTCACCTCAGATCTAAGCATCTCCTGTCCATGCAGTACTGAAGATTTTGCACCATCACTTCTGTTTTTCTCATAAATTCTTTATGAGGCTATTAGTCTCTAGGGTGCTCTTCTGAAACCAGAAGGAAATTTGGCTCACACACACACACAAAAAAAGTTGCCATATAAAGGCAACTGCAAAATATAGTGGGAAGTTGGTGGAGGATGGAGTTTCACTGAGAATGGGACAGCAACATGATGGAAAGAACATGAACTTGAATTTCAGTTCTACCACTTACTAGAAAGATGCCTTTGAACAAGTCTCAATTTCTGAATCTTCATTTGTTGCTCTGTAAAATGGGGTCATATTATCTCACAAAGTTGTCACAATAATTAAAATGAGATCTTGTTTTCTAAGTCACCTGACATATATTAAGTGTGAAATCATTTTTCTTTCTCATTTTCTTTTTTATAACGCTCTCATAAATAGTAGGTGTAAGAGTTCTTCCCAGGATGTCTCATCAGAATTCAGAGAGTTACCTTTGCTGTTCCTTCCAGCAAGATCTGCAGTGTATTATTGCAGAGTCAGCTCGTGAAGTATGCATGAACTCTCTCTAAACTGGTGTTTTTAGCCAAGAAACAAACCACTTCATTGTAGGTGCCTGTGAATCAAAAGGGAAGGTTTCCATAGTACTTTTGCCTGTGCCAAATCCATACATCTGCATTTTTCAAGGGAAATTGCTGAAAAGATATTAAGAGAAAAACTTCCCTATACAGATATGTCTGAAATCCCCAAATGCCACCCTAACAAAATCAATATTTTTATGAAATTGACAAAAGTTTAAAAAGAGAATTTTCTTTCTCCTGCAGCTTTCCTTGATTCATGAATTGCAGCATCAAAGAACTTAAACCAGAAAATACACCAAACTGTTGTTGTCACATTGATTCATGGTTGGTTAGATAAAACAAATAATCTTAGCTTTTAGTATCAACATGTCGAAATTTCAATAGCAGTGAAATATTGTCCATTGTTCATTCATTTATTGATTCATAAAATACGTATTGAATGCCTAACTTGGGCCAGGCAGTGTTCCAGGTGCTGGGAATAAAACAATGAATAGACAGGCAAATCATTCCTGCATTAATGGAGTTTAACAGTCTAGTGAGGAAAGAGATAATAAACATGTAAACGAATAAATAAATGGTATAATTTCAGAGAATAAATACTATGAGAAAATATAACAAGATAACGCAGTTCCCTGGAAGTCAGCACTCAGACATTCTGAGACAATATTGCTTGAGCAGAAAGCTGAAGAACAAAATAGAGTCATAAAAAAATTAGAAGATAAAGCGGTCAGCCAAATGGAACAGCAAATGCCAAGGCCATAAGGCAGGAGCCAGGTAAGCATGTTTAGGGGCAAAAAGAAGGCTACTATACCTGGGCAATAAGGTCAGAGAGGAGGTGGGCTGTGCATCTCAAACCTGATTGTGAATAAAAATCACCTGGAAATCTTGTTAAAATGCAGAATCTAATGGGGGTGGGATGCTGAGATTCTACATTTCTAAAAAGCTACCAGGTGATGCTGACACTGCTAGTTCATAGAGCTCACTTTGAGTAGCAAGGACATAGGGCCTTGCACACCATGGGAAAATGAATTTCCTGCGAGTTGAAATAGAAGGCCACACTTATCTGATGCCTTTACACCTAGAAAGCCCTTCTCAGTTACACAAAGGTCTCATTACCCTTTGGCATTTCCACACACCCACTACAAAACTAAGTACTTGATAAATGCACCATAAATGCCTGCATTCAATGATAAGGCTAATGATCTAGATCCTGCTTTGTGGTTTGCCTAGTATTGGAAAGAGTAGCAAAAATAATGATGTAATGGGGTGAAGCAAAAAGTGGTGAGTGAATGGAAAGACTTTAGATGGGCTTTGAATCATATTTCTGGGTTCAAATTCTACATTACCATCTACAAGGTCTTTGGCAAATTGTTCAACTTCTCTGAGCCTTTATTTTCTCATTTAAAAATAGAAATAATATCCACTTCATCAGGGAGATGTGAAAATCACATGCAATAGTAAAGTGGAAGTTTCTTGCAATAGTAGATGCTCCATAAATGTTTATTCTCTTTTTCTCTTCTTTCCAAGGTCCACCTGACTGTCAACACGATGACATTTGTATCAAATAGCATCACGAATCTGTGAATTTTGTAGAGCACAACTGATTTCCAAATTAGGAATTCAGGGCCCACATCCATGTGAAGCAACTGATTATTCCTATAGCACTTGCTTATTGCTGCTTTAAAGAAAACCTAGATTCTAGCCCTTATTCTAAACTAACCTGCTGGACAATCTTTGGTAAGTCCCTTGTCCATCTATGGACCTTAGTTCATCTGTTAAATGAAAGAGTTGGAGTAGATGGTCCTGCCCAACCTTGGCATCTTCTGACTGTGATTAACTTGGTGAGAGTTCTGAAAGTGGACTTGTTTTCCAGAAAACATAGCAGAATCCTTGTAGCTGAGATATTTGGGTGATGAGATTCAAATTCATGAAGAAGACAGGATGAAACCCTTGTATATTAACCTTGGCCAGCAAATATCCTCATTCCTTTCTCTCCAATCCCATTATTGCAGGGACTAGAGTGCCAGAAATATTATCTTATTCTCACTGGATCTTTCATATTTTTAAAAGCAACTGACATCACAGGAAAAACTTGAGAACAAGACTTAATGGAATCAAATGTGCACTTCTCTGTTATTTTACTTTGTCACATAATAATGTTATAACCCTTTATTTTCAAAAATATCTTTGAGATGAAAACAAATCTATAAAATTGCTAGTATTTTTAAAACTTGAAAAAGTTTAAGGAGGATGTTTATGGCTTTATATCTGTTCTGGTCTTCAACCATCTACTCCTCCAATCCTCCCTCACCCCAGTTTAGGGTTTTTTAAGGTTTTTGTTTGTCTGCTTGGTTTTTATTATTGTTTTTACAATTAAATAAAATAAAAATTAAAATAACCCCAACAGCAAATATCTTCAGATGCTAGAGGATTACAACTCCTGAGAGGCTTAGGTTGAAAAAGGAACTAATGCATCTTGTCTAAAGGTGTATATTTGAGATAAATCGTTTTCCAATGAATACTTAGAAATAAGCAGAGATTATTTCTTAAAAGGTCAGGTGCTTCATCTCAACAGAATGTTTTTCCACCTCTTTCAGAGGAGACCACTTACTTTCAGATATATCAACAAAAGTGCCCCTTCCCTTAGACCTAGCCAAAATGAAGAATCTCTTTATAGCTTTATTTACTCTCTGCCTTTGAGAGTTTTGCTGTTTGCCTTCTTTATCCTGATGCTTTGAAGGCTTGGAGTATTGAATAAATGGAGAAAAGATCTAAGAACCAAGTAATGGAGACACACAGTTCAGTTTCAGAGAGCTCACGGCAACCACAGAACACACGATGATTAAGAGATTAAATTATGTGACCAAAGGTAGACCCTAAATCCTCCAAATTATATATGTTTCCCAGATCCATGGGTCTACAGAGCTGGCAAAGGAGCAGGTGCTGCTTACCCAAAACATTGGCTCCTTTAGCATCATCTGTGCTCTTTCCCAGCCAAGGGCACCTATAATTACCTCCCATAAGCTGAACTCTCAACCCTGCCTCGCTCCACACATACCCACTGCTGAAAATTGTATTGGCAATTAATTTGTCAGGAAAATGCTAGGGGGTGTGAACACTGGTAATTTTATACCATAGATATTCAAATTAAACCTCGAGCCTGAGTATTTTCAGTGTCAAATTGTAGCATAGTTGCAGAAAAAGAGAGAAACACAAACTTCCTCCTGCTATCTCCTGACTAGAGGTGAAAAAGAATGTTCCATGTGGATGTGATAACCTTGGCTCCATCTCTAGGGTTGACTTGGGAACATGAACAACAAAACACACTAATTATGGGTGATACCTTTTGTGCTCCTCTTTGAGTGAAAGGAGATGGGGTTGGTGGTTGTTCTGTATCATTCCTCAAGTGACAAGAATCATTTTAATGACCAGTAGCGTCAGATACCAATAACTTGTAGAAGCCCACTCCAATTCTGCACCTGATTTTCGTGAGATTACTGTGAGAGTACTGTGTTTATAGACCCTTGGTCAATTGACAGCCATGAAAATAGCATAGGACAAAAGAGCACCAGCATAACACCAAACAGAAAGTCCCCCAAACTATCTCATGTACACAAGGAAAGCCTCTGGAACACTGGAGCTGAATCAAAACAAAGAGCTTAAAGCTTCAGATTCTCCTGGGACTATTGTTTTAAAGATTCATTTTGTTAATTATTTTGAAAGAAGAAAGAAAACTAACATTGACAGCCTACTTCAAGTCAAAAATTGTGCATACATTACATCATTTAATCTTTATATCACACTCATTAGGACCCAGGTGCAGTGGGTCATGCCTATAATCAAAATGATCTGGGAGGCTGAGGCATGGTGGTACATGCCTGTACTCCCAGCAACTCAGCAGGCTGAGATGGGAGGATTGATTGAGCCCAAGAGTTGGAGATAGAAGTGAGCTATGATCAGGCCTTTGCCCTCGAGCCTGGTGACAGAACGAGATCATATTATATATATATATATATATATGAAGATGCCTGCTAGCTGCTCCCACAGAGAAGAAACAAATGTGAGTAAACACTGGCTCTTCAAGTGGATATTCTAAGAGAACACATTGCGATTCACTAAAGAAGCAATGGGACCCACAGAGAACAAAGAAGAACAAAGTGAATGATTACAGCCACTGGGGATCCACAATGTCCCCACAAACCCTTTGCAATCCTGGGCACAGGAGAACTCCCCCGACCCATCCGGGCCTGCAGACCAACAAGAAGAACCATCTGGAGTCCATGCAGAGATATCTCTCAAGCCCACATGGAGCACCACAAGCACTGGATCCCAGAGCAGTCTGACACCAGCTGTCAATGTGCTGCCAACAAGGGAAGACAGGCAAGACAGGCTCTTTTGCAAGCCCCTAGGATAGCTGCTACAGCCACAGTACTGAGGAGCAGACCAACTGCAGACCCCACCTCTGCTGCTCCTCACCAGGCAGGGACCACCAGTTGAGGCTCCCAGCACAGCTGCCCCTGCTTGGATACTGTAGAAAGTTGCAGCTCTGGGGTCCTGTGGGATGGAACTCCAAGAGATATAACTGAAAAACCCTCTGCCCTCGCCCCTGTTGCCCTCAGGTTGAGGTGGAAACAAAGAGGCTGAATGCTTTCACACATCTCCAACAAGGACACCGCTGCCCAGATATGAAGAACTGGGCAGACTGCACACCCCACAACTCCCTGCCTTTGCTTGCCACTTCTGGTACCCAGTGCAAGCACCCTGCCTCCACATGAGCATTTCAGCTGCAGTCTAGAGTCCTGAAATCCCTACCCCCACAGGTCTTCCCTCAGGTTCTTACCACCCAAGCATTCTGCCTGCCCCTGCCTGAGAGTTCATCCAGTGACCCAGGGGCCAGCCTGCCCCTCTCTATCGCAGTCAGCACCTGAATCCTGGGCTAGCCTGATCTGGCTCCAGACCCTTCAGGACTCATACATGCAGTCCAGCGGACCATCTAGGGGCCTGGAAACTGAGGAACTACCTATCCCATTCAAATTCTGCTGGCACCTGACCACTTCTCACACAAGCCCAAAGGCATAGCCCCCGCCTTTACACAAAGAAGCAGTGCTATCATATCAGAGAACAGCCCTGCCATAAAGCTATTTGTATCAGGCTGAGTGATGAAGTTGCCCCAAACCACTTTAATGGAGAATCACAAAAGAGGCATTTTCTGAGGCTCTCAGACACATTGGTCTAGACACAGACTACAGTGTGTGTCTGAATGAGGAGTCATCAGCCCTGGAACAGGGGCATGATAGGAAAATAGACCATGTTCCTACCTATCAAAGATGGGGAGCCAGTGCAGATCCCTCATCTCCTTGCCCCGCCCCAGAGATCTCAGTGCATTTCACCAGGGACTCCTCCCAGCCACCCTTGACAGGGCTGGTGCCCGCACTCACCATGGGGGTATTTGTGGGCAAGCCAAAGGCTCCAACTCTGCCTAGCTTTGTTTCTCCACCCCCACAGAGCAAGAAGCACAGGGCACCAAGCACTCTACTGTCCAGCCCATCATGTAAAACAACAGAGAGCACCTCACAGCAAACAGACCATGTACATACCCATCTGTTTGTGCAGCAACTGGCTCATACCTGTCAGCACCGTCTACTGGCCTGTAAGTTGAATCACACAGCCCAATATAAAACTGCCCACAAAAATGCATAGGGTTATAGAAGCAAAGCCAAAAGATGTTACCCAACACACTCTACAGTCCCATCCTCTAGGAAAGGGGAGAAATGGAAATATATATAGGGAAAGAAAAAAAAATTCTACCAGCATGAAAATAAATACAAAAATTAGTAGCACCAAACTCTCCAGATGAGAAGGAACCAGTGTAAGGATTCTGGCACCGTGAAAAATCTGAACATTGTGACACCACCAAAGGATCACATTAGCTGTTCAGCAATGTTCCCTGACCAAAATGGAAATTCAGAAATAATAAATAATTCAAACCATGGAGCAAGGATGCTCAACAAAAGCCAAGACAAAGTTGAAAATCAACACAAAGAAACTTCTACAGAAATCCAGGAAATGAAGAAAGAGATAAACATCTTAAAAAGAAATCAATCAGAGCTTCTGGAATCACCTAAGGAATTTTAAAATACAACTGAAAGCTTTATCAATAGACTAGCCCAAGCAGAAGAAAGACTGTCAGAGCTTGAAGACTATTCTTTTGAACTAATCTGGTCAGACAAAAATAAAGAAAAAAATAATTTTTAAAAAAGAACAGTCTTCAGACACCACCAGAAGAAAGGAAGGTGCTATGTAATCAGTAAGGAGCAGAGGCATTTGGAACTGCTAAAATGCCAGATTACCTTGGTGCCCATCAGCGGAAGACCAAAGATGATGAGAAGGATGACAAGCCCATCCAAGTTCTGGATGAGGCGGATATTGCCTTGCTGAAAACTTATGGTCACAGCACTTACTTTAGGCAGATCAAGCAAGTCGAAGATGGCGTTCAGCAACTTCTCAAGAAAATTAATGAGCTCACTGGTATTAAAGAATCTGACACTGGCCTGGCTCCACCAGCACTCTGGGATTTGGCTGCAGATAAGCAGACACTCCAGAGTAAACAACCTTTACAGGTTGCCAGGTGTACAAAGATAATCAGTGCTGATTCAGAGGACCCAAAATACATTGTCAATGTAAAGCAGTTTGCCAAGTTTGTGATGGACTTTAGTGATCAGGTGGCACCCACTGACATTGAAGAAGGGATGAGAGTAGGTGTGGACAGAAATAAATATCAAATTCACATTCCATTGCCTCCTAAGACTCACCCAACAGTTACCATGATGCAGGTGGAGGAAAAACCTGTCACATACAGTGATGTTGGTGACTGTAAGGAGCAGATTGAGAAATTGCGAGAAGTAGTTGAAACCCCATTACTTCATCCAGAGAGGTTTGTGAATCTTGGCATTGAGCCTCCCAAGGGCATGCTGCTCTTTAATCCACCCAGTACAGGAAGACACTCTGTGTGTGGGCAGTTGCTAATCAGACTGATGCGTGCTTCATTCGAGTTATTGGATCTGAGCTGTACAGAAATATGTCAGTGAGAGGGCTCAAATGGTTCATGAGCTCTTTGAAATGACCAGAACAAAAAAAGCCTGCCTTATCTTCTTTGATGAAATTGATGCTATTGGAGGGGCTTGGTTTGATGATGGTGCTAGAGGTGACAATGAAGTGCAGAGAACGATGTTGGAACTGATCAATCAGCTTGATGGTTTTGATCCTCGAGGCAATATTAAAGTGCTGATGGCCACTAACTGACCTGATAATTTGGATCCAGCACTGATGAGGCCAGGCAGATTAGACAGAAAAATTGAATTTAGCTTGCCTGATCTAGAGGGTCGGACCCACATCTTTAAGATTCACGCTCATTCAATGAGTGTTGAAAGATATATCAGATTTGAATTGTTAGCACGACTGTGTCCAAATGGCACTGCTGCTGAGATTAGAAGTGTCTGCACAGAAGCTGGTATGTTTGCCATCAGAGCACGGTGAAAAATTGCTACTGAGAAGGATCTCTTGGAGAAGGATCTCTTGGAAGCTGTAAGTAAGGTCATTAAGTCTTATGCCAAATTCAGTGCTACTCCTCACTACATGACATACAACTGAACTTTGAAGGCTTTCAATTTAAAACTTTTAATTGGAAATCCTAACCTTATATAGACTTGTTAATAACCACTTCACAAAAAAAAATGGCTTCAAAATTGAAAAAAAGAACAGTCTTCAAGAAGTATGGGATTATGTAAAGTGATTTTAAGAAGTATGGAATTATGTAATGGTATTGTGCAAATCTATGAATTATTGGCATTCCTGAGAAAGGAGAAAACAAACAACCTAGAAAACATATTTGAGGGAATAATTCAAGAAAATTCCCTAATCTTGCTACAGAGGTAGACATCCAGACATAAGAAATCAAGAGAGCACCTGCAAGATACTATACAAAATTAACATCACCTTTCTCAAAGAGCTTAAAACAGAGCTACCATTTGAACCATGGTCTATATACCCAAAGGAATATAGATTATTATACCAAAAAGATACATGCACTTATATGCTCATTGCCACACTATTTACAATAGCAAAGTCATGGAATTAACATAGGTGTCCATCAATGGTGGATTGGATAAAGAAAATGTGGTACATATACACCATGGAATACTATGCAACTATAAAAAAGAACAAAATCATGTTCTTGACAGCAACAGGGATGCAGTTGGAAGCTATCATCCTAAGCAAATTAATGCAAGAGCAGAAAACCAAATACTGCATGTTCTCACTTATAAGTGGGAGCTTAACATTGGGTACACATGGGAACGATAGACACTTAGGACTACTAGAAGGGGAAGGGAGGTAGTGGGGGCAAGGCCTGAAAAACTACCTACTGGGTACTATGCTCACTACCTGGGTGACAAGATAAATTGTACTCCAAATCTCAGCATTACACTATATACCGATGAAATAAACCTGCACATGTACCCTCTGAATTGGAAATAAAAGCATATCTAATATATATGTGTCATCATCTTTTTACAGAAATTTAGGTTTATGGATTAAGTAACTATATGACTCAGCCAGTATCCATTATTTGTATAATTCAAACTCAAGTCTTCTGGGCTTCTCCTTATTCTGAAAAATTCAAATTTCTGTCAAGAACCCCTTAGGGTAGAGAGGAGGACACATGGAATGGGTTAGCATATGAAATTCTTTCATGAGGTCTTCTAATCTACCATGTGTTGATTAACTACATGATATATTTCAAACATATATACACCAAGACCTTGGAATGTTCATAAGTGCTGTTGGGACTAATGAAATCTAGATGGCTGTAAGTGTTACTGAACTCATAGCATCTTATTATTCCATATGTTTTTCCATCAGGGGATACCAAAAGTGTAATATTATCACATAGATAGATGAATATTTTTGCCATTAGGGGTCATTCTCAAGAACCACCACTGTTCACCATACAGCTTCCTGAATCTACTCTTTAACATGTAACGCAAGCTGAGCACCACAGAATTAAATTATTGCACCATGTGGCCACTTACATGACAAATGAAAGCCATCATACTTGACTTTAGGCTCAAGAGAGAAATATTTCACCTGAGCATGGTGACCATTTTGCAAATTATGACCTAAGAAATATGAGGGACTTGATTTTAAAAGTCATATTCTTAGGCATCGCCTCAGATCTATTAAGTCAAACTCTGTGGAGATGGGGCCCACAAAATCATATTTTTTTAAACTCCCTAGGAAATTCTGTTACCCATAAAGTCTGAGAATCACCAGTGAAAATGGATACCATGAATAAGTACTGACTATATAATACTGCATTTAAATAAGATTCAAGGATTAGCATAAACGTACATAGGATGTAAGGCCTTGAACATAGTGGTTCTTGTCCCTGAAGAAAAGAGACTATGAACTGCTAACATGTTATTAGCCAAGCGGGACTTTTTTCCCTATACTGAGATGTGAGGATGCTCTTCCAGACCAAATTTAAGATTTTTTATAAATCCTCTCTCTCTCCTACTTAATATAGCATAGCACAAACATCATTCATTAATATTGATATAGCCTCTGTCCTTATTGTTACTGTTTGCTGCATTTCATTTCATTTGTTTTCACATTCAGATATTTATTCCTTGACATATGTTGAAAATTGAATATGAGAGTTTATCCTGGTGAGTCTGTGAAGATAACTGTTGCCATGAAAACCAAATTGTCCTTAGAAGCTGATAAGAAAATGGAAACCTCAATGTGATGAACAGTGTGGAACCTTGAATTCTCACCATCCAGGATCAGCAAGAAGCTTCCACCTTTAAGGTCAACTTCAAGTGATTGGTAGTGGCCTCCTAGGCACTGTGTGGAGAAAGATTCTGAGTCCACACCTAAGCCTAGACCAAGAGAATTAGAGTAGTGGAATTGATCATGGGCAAGGTGGCAGCAAAGTGCCAGGCATTTGCTATTCTTCCTCTTAGAAGTTCAATATTTGCAGTGGAAATATGTTCCAGATTACATAACATGCAAAGTCAGAATTCCAGAAATTTCTCTTTCATATCTGACATTTAATGTAAGAGAAGCAGGATCCAAAAAGGACAAATTTCCAAAGCTACATAACTACTTGACAATGAATACCAATGCTAGAACCATTTCACACCCATAAAATGTCTCACAATGTGACAAATTCCCTTTAACCTTAGCCATATCTGTTACATAGCTTCTAGAAAGAAAGTTGAGAAAATTTCCACCATGCCAAATCAGCAGGCAGTTCTCCTGAACAGTATGTCATGATGCCGTATCCCTCTATCAAGTTGACCCCCAAACCATCAAAAAATAATCTGTAATAGTCCAACCCCAAAGGAACCAAACCAGATAATGACTGAGTTTGCTCTCTTAAGCAGAAATGCATTTCCAGAAAAGGTGGGGAGAAGGGGGCGGTTATCTGGGATAAAGTCAGCTCTGTGAAACAGAACAGACTGAGTGAATGCCACATGTTGTGATGTGCTTTCTTCCCTGGAACCTACTGAGTTGAGGGCTGGAGTATAGGCCTACAGGAGGGTGGTTATAGATTCTCCTTCCCAAATGCACTTTGAAATGCATCTTCATTGAGCCAGTAATTAAAGAAATGCATTTTTCCTGATGATGGACTTCCGCAGATAGAGATGCTCACAGCTTTATAGATCTCTCACATCTCTAACAATTAGATACCATTCCTCTACTCCAGACAACTGAGACTAAAAGGAAAATTAGCATCATAAGCATTTCAGCACCTTCCTTCTCTTAGAACCACTAGATAGTGCCCTTTCATTTCTCTGCTCTTTCCTTCTAATGGTTTTAAATGGATTTCTTAAAAAACAAATCCTGTACAGAATGTTCCTCCAATCTGTAGAGATAAACACAATTGGTGCCCATAAAGAAACTGATGCTCCATACAAGCAGCTTAATCAGAATCATCCTAGAGTGTAGGCATTGTCTACACATGACTACAGAAAGAAAGGGAATGAAAGCAGAGTACAAGGACTGAGGCAAGCTGGAGGTGGTCCCTGCAGCAGTATCCTGTGATGCTTGGCAACAGGAAATGAGATTAAAGAAATGTATCTCATTCCCCAAATATGAGGCTTTTCCAATTTACTACATCTCCTCTATACCTGGCCAGGTGTGATTAACTACAAGGATAAGGGGTGAGAGGAAAGGAGCAAGAAGCTGCAACTAGATCTTCTGCTAGGTTTACAGGTGGGCTCTACTGGCAGCACAGACGCTAGTTTATTCGGGGACCTTGTGCAAATTAGAAAAAGGTAACCCTTGCTCAAAACACTTTACTGCCATCTGCTGGAATGTTGTCAAAATAACTATTCACATCTAGAGTCACTACAAGAAAATATCCCCTGGAGGAGTGCCCTGTTGCTTACAACCCAAACAATTGTAAATTGAGGTTGCCTTGGGAGGAAATCTAGTCTGGCAGGTGAAACAGGAAATCCCAAGACTGTACAAGCATGGTTTTGGGCCAGTCTATATCAGGAGACCACAACATGTAAATCAAGATAAGGCATAAGCCATGATGAAGCACTCCAGGGGGAGCCCAGGCTCAGGAAGCCAGTGGAGTCATTGCCTCTGCAGTGAGGCTGATCATACAACCAGTTGCTGATGGAGGCAGAAGAAACTCAGCAAGTCCGAGACAGGCCCTAGCACCAACCAGACTGAGGGAGTAGGGCAGACTCCAGTGCACAGAATCAGACACAGATCTTCAGAAAATGAACGTAATTGCAAGGAAATAAGTAATTGCAACACAGGCTGTATAAGCACCCCACCATAGAAGTTAGCACAGAGGGCTGTAGGAGCACATAACAGGTGCACTTAACCTCATCTTGGAGTACCTGAAAAGGGTTCCAGAAGAAGCAGTAACTAAGGTAAAACCTAGATAGAACACAGTTCCTGCCCTCAAGGAGTTTAGAGAATAGGTCTGACCTATCTAATACAGTAGCCAGTAGCCACATGTAGCTATTGAGCCCTTGAAATGTGGCCGGTGCAATGGAGGAACTACAATTTTAATTTTATTTAATTTTCATTTTAAAACTGAAGCAATGCAAAATATTTTTTCCATTAAACACAACTTTATTGTTTGGTAGGATTACGTTTCACTCTAACCATTGCATTGGATAAGATATTACTGTTGTATTGTAATGTACATGTATTTTTCTCCTTTTAGAAAAATTACATGTCACCCTCATTATATTTCTATTAGATAGTACTGCTTTAGACCAAAGAGATAGTCATACAGTCTGAAAAGTAAAGTATTCATTATAATGCTGGGATAGAAATAGGCTCACCTAGTACTCACTGTTATCTGGAAATATTAAACAAAATGCTCAGAAGATCCTAGATGGCAGAGAAAAGAACACGTATTAAAAGCAAATGAATGTAGGCTGAATTTATAAATAAATGGGTGGCACATACTTAAGCAGAGAATGTAGAGGAGCACCTCATAATCTGACAGAGACTTGTCCTTACCCTGGGTTAGAGTCTGTGGCTGTTACAGATGTGGAAATATGATGTTCACTTTTATTACATCAGTCAGTGTGCATTAGGCTACAAATAACAAAAAGTCTAACAGCCAGTAGCTTCAACTTTAAAAGACATCCATGGTTTACTGTTTAAAAACCCAGAGGTAAAAAAATCTATGGGTGGCTCAGCAGGTGAAATGTGTCTTCAAAAATTCAGTAACTACTATCCTTTTCTCCACCTTCCGAAGGATTCAGTGTTTTATCATAGACTTGTCACTTGAAGGTCCCAAGGCAAGAAGCAATAGGGGTGGGAACAGCCAAGTTAGAGAATTTTTCCTTTAGGACATTGACATTCCAGTTCTATCCCTAGCTTCCAAGGAGGCAGAGATAGCAATTATCTGGCAAAGGAGAGCCAGAAAGCCATAATATGTTTACACAAATCCTAAGTGTTCCATTGAAACTGGACATATTGCTGCCAGGAATTATACTGTGGTCCTATTAGCAAGGACTAAAGGAAGGTAATGCATAATGTCTGCAGCATTCACTAATTGTTTCATGATATTTAAATCTCCTATATTCTGATTCTTAGCAGGTAGTTGGCTAAAAGACACTTTTAAATGAGAAAACATAAATTTTTTATAATCATATATAAAGGAGGAGAGCTACGAAAACTCTAGCCAAATCAAAGCTGTAGTAATCCAATGGCAACTTGCCTGTGATTCTCTTATTCTCATTCAGGAAAAGTGGTGTTATCTCAGTCCATTATCTTCACTGAGAAGAACAAGTATGGGATTCACAATGACTGAACTGAAAAACTTGTTTTTACTGAGAAAAAAATGAATTGTTTCTAGTATTCTTATAAAGGGATGAGAAACCTGTAAATTGCTCAGCATTATTGAACCAAGAACAAGTTATTTTTCAAATTTTTCCAAGTAACAATGGTTGTAAATGGAATGCTGTCCTCAGTGATTTTAAGACACATTTCTTAAAAAAAAATATTAGGAGCTATAAACTGAAAACTGAAGAGTGGGAAGCAATAATAAATATCAATAATCTTGGCCACTGAGGAAAAGGAATCTCCATGTGATAATCACATGGAAATTCAAATGTGCCTTCATGATATACTTCATAGTATTCTTGTAAACCACTTCCATGGAATGCCTTGCCACCAGGAGAGGCCACACAGATCACCCTCTGCAAGGACATGTCAGTGCAAAGAAAGGAATGACACAGACATAAATCAAATGAAACTGAATTATGTTTAATAATTAGAAGTACATGTGGGCCTTTCATTTCTAAAGGTATTTATTCCATTTCTATTTGTTTCTAGAAGCTAAAGTGGGTCCTGGCAATACAAGAGAAAAGAGCACTAGGTCCTACCCACAATCTGTTCATAGCCTAATGGGAGAGACACATGGGAAAACAAATGCCATTAGAATAACGAGTCTTTTAGTAATAAAGACAAGAGGCTATAAAAATGTCTTGTAGAGGAGGTGATATTTTACTTGAGTTTTTTAAATGAATAAACACTTTCCAGGGAGACAATGAGCTAAAGGAGAGTTCTGGATGAGAACCCAAAGGCAGCCATTTGATAAGCAGAATGGTGGTTGGAGAACTAGGCAAATTGTTCCACAATGCGTGTAATAAAGAGGATTCGATGGCTCTGAAAGAACAGAAAGAAAAAGGCAGAGACAACATGCAAAGGGCCTTGTACTGCACTACAGTGAAGTAGTAAGTACAGAGTTTTGCAATTGAAAAGACCTAAAATCGTGTCCCAGCCCCTTCACTACAAGCCATGTGATTTTTAATAAGACATTTCCATTTTCTGAGGCTCAATTCTTCTCTTCATCTATAAAATGTGGGTAATAAATACTTCCCAGGGCTCTTGTGTGGATGAAATAAGATAATGATTATAAAAGTACTTGGTAAACTGCAAAGCAGTATATTGGCATCCATTATGCTTATCAATATACATGCATTGTGGTTAAGTGGGATATAAAATCAGGGCAACCTGTATTCACATTACCATCCAGGAACAATTGTACTACTGTTTCCCAGTGAATTAGTGGAGGCAAAACGGGCTGCAAACTAGCTTAAGTTGTGAGAACTCATCTAACAGCGAAAATAATGCTAATTAACTGTATCGTGACTCTAGTGGCAGAGAGCCACTAAAGACTACTTCTGAAAGTGCTGAAAACTTAGTAGATGGGCCTATTGATGTAAGTCAGTGGTGGTTTTATAGATACCTTTCATGGAGCTGTTTCATTTCTATCTGAACCTGTTAGCTGCTGAGCATACCCCAGTCCTTTCCCATGGAAAAATAAGGCAGCTGTGTTACTAGGAGCAATGGTCAAATGTACTGATTACAGCTTCACCACCACTACCAGCATCCCAATGGTGCCTGTGGAACCTTGTTACCACGGCAACCATTTACAAACCCTTCAAAAGGTCTTTCTAAGGAGTTCTGCTGGAGTATAAGCTATAACCAAAGCCAGAGCTGGCTCAA
Source organism: Homo sapiens (assembly GCF_000001405.40). Lineage (NCBI taxonomy): Eukaryota > Metazoa > Chordata > Mammalia > Primates > Hominidae > Homo > Homo sapiens. Next base: position 132,184,115 of record NC_000003.12, read on the forward strand.
ATAAGTAAATCTGAGCTCTAGCTTCAGCTATGTCCCTAAATATTTCTAAGGTTTGAGAAATGATCTCAACTTATTAGGCTTTGATTGCTCCTTATCCAGAGAAAGGTTAGTCTTCACTTTTATAAGGCTCTGTGAACACCGTCCTTCAAATGGATAATTATTGAGAGCCCACACTATAACAGGTACTTTACAAATAAGGTTCTCCACCAGGAGCCTTCATGGCTATACGTTTTCATCCAGCATTTGTAATGGTTTCCTTCAGTCTCATTTCTCTTTTCTGAGCCATCCAAGTGACCTTCTCCACCAAAGGTGAGCCTTTTTAGAAAGATGCAGTTGCTCTTTCAAAAACTTGCATCTTTATAAATAAATGGCAAAGCCTTTGTAATATTTCTTAAAGAGTGAATCGGGCTGTCAAAGTTGTCTTACAGGCTTTCCAAGGAGCTCTGGTGCAGGAGTTCATGAGTCCAAGGTCCCAGGGGAGCAATGTGCTGATATGCATAAGGATCTCAACATCATTTATTAGTGTACTTAAAGTAAAAGGAAAGATGAACTTTTCATAGGAAGATCTAAGTTTAAAGCTCTATTTAATTCATTCTGTGTAACCTTGGATAAGTCACTTGATTTCTCATCCACTGTGATCAAATCTAAAAATATTAAGACTATCTCTCAAGATTGTTGTTAGACTCAAATAAGATACAGTATATGTGAAAATTATTTAAGAGCATATGTTGTTACTTTCTCATATACCAACCTGTCCTCTATACTAACTAATTCTAAAATGGTACATGACAAATATTGAGCTAAGGTGTAAGGACTGGTCAGACAGCCAGAACCAGATGAGGAAACACAATAAGAATGACTACTCTGAAAAAAATAGATGACTTATGACTAGTATTTAGGGAGGAAGAGACTTCGGTCTTCAAACTCTTGAAAGATTATCATATGAAAGCAGGAAGAGATTTGTGAAGGAAGCCGTGAAGAGACTGAGAAGTTCAGAATGTAGAATTAGCTGATCCAAAAAAAAACACAGTATAGAAATGCAGCTAATAGACTTTCAAATCAGAACTTGAGTCGATCCCAGTTCTGCCACTCTTTCTGGATGACCTTGGGAAGTTTACTTAACTTCTCTAAACTTCAATTCTTTCATCCTTATAATGGAATTAATAATACTAACAACCTCATAAGGTTGTTGTGAGGATTAAATAAGATTAGTGATATAAGAGTCTTAAGAGAGCCAATGGCTCATGGAAATGTTTCTATAAATATTGACTACTTTTATTAAATGATGAGAGGTTGAGTAGGAAGAAAAGGAAGATAGTCTAATGGGTGGAAGTTTCTGGGAGACAGATTCAATTCCATAGGAGGGAAGCATTTCCATGCATAAATGCCATTTGACAATGGAGAAGGTATGCTGTCCTTGTTCCTCTTTCTGAGTAGTATCCCTGGATGCCGCCTTAAGCCAATGGTCTTTACCTACAAAGCTTGGTCTAGGTGTCAAACAGTACCCTTCCCTTATTTGAGAGCTGAAATATTTGAAGCTGAGGGAGCAACTAAGGGGGCAGTACTGCCTTGGGAATTAACTAATTCAAAATCCCAGAAGACCATGCTAATACATTACCAAACCTATGGGAGCTGGGCAAAGAGAGAGGATCCTGGAGGGAGGCCAACAAGAAAAAGGAAGTCAGGTAGAACCTGGAGTTACTACTCACCAAGAAAGAAGCAGCTGCTGGGGTGTGTGTGTGTGTGTGTGTGTGTGCACAAGGCTATCCAGTGGGGATTGTTGGAGCACGGGCAGGGGCAGATGCCCTCTTAAGGTGCTAAGTTTTCAGTCACTAAATCTTTTCTTACAGAAGCAGGGAGCCCTCTAAAAGGAGACCACAGATGGTGTTACACCTCTGGCAGAAAACTTGGTCTGCATGTATGAGTTCTATATATACATTTCCAAATCTAACAGTTATACTTTTCAATGGGTTATAAGGCCCCATATAAGGTGCCTATATAGCCACCTTCTTTCCTCCACCCCTTTCCATACATTTAGTCAACACATATTTATTGAGTACCTACTATGTAGCAGACATGGGGTGCTAGTTACTGAGGAAACATGGTTTCTGTCATCAGGAAGCTTATAGCCTAACCACTGTTATCCAGTAGCTATATAATGTGAGCCATGTATATAATTTAACATTTTCTGGAAGCCACAGTAAGAAAAAAAACAAATAAACCATGAACTTAGCCTTAACACTCTATTTTATTTAAGTATATCCAAAATATTACCTCAACGTGTAATTAACATTTTAAAAATTATTAATGAACTATTTTGCATTTTTTGTATTAAGTCTTTGAAAATCCAGTGTGTTTTTTACACTTACAGCACATCTCGATCTGGACTAGCCATGTTTCAAGTGTTCAATGGACGTATGTGCCTGTTGCTCCCATATTGAACAGTGCAAATTTAGCAAAGAGTTCTTTTAGAAAATAATAACTATATAGACTGAGAGCAGAGATAAGCCCTGTTTTGTGGGTTAGCAATGGTGTGCTGGTAGTTGTTTAAAAACTGGCTTCAGGGAGTAGATAATTTGTAATATCTGCTGATTTCCATAATGCCTTAACCTAAATATCAGGCCAAATAGGAATGACACCTTCTTCTGAGATCATAAAATTGTTCTTCAAGTGCTGAAGAAACAAACTTCTCTCCCTAGAAAGTGGACACAAAACTAAGTCAGGGACATCAGAGAGAATGTGGCCTGGTTTCATAGTCAGGTGGTCTAAACTCCAATCCTAAAAGTTTAATTATCTTCAGGAAATCCTCACACTTTAGCTCATCTGTGCAATGGGGATTACAGCAATTGCTATGAAGCCACAAAGGGATAAAATGCATGAAGGAGTCATGCAAGGACCCCTACAAGTGCAAATTTTTATTATTGACTTTTGCAAACTTCCATCAGTGAGGTGTTCGAAGTACTTATCTTCTAATTGACCAATGGAGATTATATCTATTTATGGTATATAACATCATGTTTTGATTAATGTATATATTTTGAACTGGCTAAATCAAGCATTAGCTTGATTATAATGAGCTAATTGATTATGTTGTAATATGTTAATTATAACGTATTACATACTTATTTTGTGATGAAAACAATATTTACTGTGTTAGAAATTTTTAAGTGCACAATACAGGTTATTAACTATAATCACATTTATTGTACAGTTGTACAATAGACCTCTTAAACTTATTTCTCTTGTCTTTTGGCCAATATCTCCATAACCCCACCCCTAAGAATTATTATTAATTATTCTAGCTTGCCCACTTAGGATCTACTATTACTATGGGAAGGCAGGTGGCCACTTAAAGGCCCCAAGGAAGCTCCAAACTGTCATGTTCCTAGGAAATATTAGGAGCAATTTCCAGGACTAAGGTTGCCCAGCCCCCTCCCAACATGTTCCTGCTGTCCAGGAAAAGTAGCTTCCTAGAGAGATAATTAAGACATGGTGGCAATTTCTGCATGTCTCTGTGGCTCTTATTATTAATGAAAAGGGGTAGGGAGGAGCATGATTTACTCATGGTTCTGTAATATAATCACAAAGTAATACAGCTTCTCAAATAAATATTGTCAACTAATTGCCATCAATCCTCAAAAGGCCAGCTGTGATGCTGTGATTAATGGGCATTTCCATCAAAGCTTCTCACACAGCAGAACTAGAACAGATGGCTACAGGTGATCAGTGGAACTAGGTGATATAGGGGCAAATATTAATAACTATGACTATTTATCAAGTGTTTCCTGGGGCTGGTTTCAGCCACAAAGGCAGGTGCTGAATATTCTGAGCTGCCCTTTTAAGCACTAAGAATTATGATGATGCTCAAGGTTTGAGCCTGGTAAAAGCCCTCCAGCCAGTATCTCCTCATCTATTAAACAGAGCAGGCTCATAACCCACACTCCAGAGTTTAGTTTTAGAAGGTTTTGCTTTTCTTTGTCATGATATATGAATCCGGGTAACTGTTACTGATCTTTTGACGTGGACATGGGAGACACAGTCAATCATCAAGACATCTGGTAAAATGTCCAGAGCAGAAAGTCACATGGTGCCAGAATCTCCCAAGGCGAGAAAGAAGGATTAGAGTTGCCAAATGAAATACAGGACGCCCATGCAACATTTCAGAAATATTTATCTTAACAGATTATTTGTTGTTTCCCTGAAATGTAAATCTCATTTGGTGTCCTGTATTTTTATCTGCTGCACCTGTCAACCCTAAGATGGGTACCTCCCAGGTTAAAGGTACAGCAGCTAGCTAATTTGTCCCACCTCAACTAGTAATATCCTCCTCACATTCTTTGTACTAGGAAAATGAATTGCTTGTGACAAATATTAATTAAAAGCCAAAATTTTACATTTTAAAGTACACTTGAGGTATCCATCCCATTTTCTGTCCTTCCTTTGAATTCACAAAAATAAAGCCCTCCCTCATTATTATAGGTTAAAATGGTCTTTGTCTTCTTTCAAGTTATTTTAAGGTCTCATTATGGGCCATATTCTCTATTAAACGTTTCAAATATAGCAATTAGTGCTCACAACCAACCTACAAAGAAGATATTTTAAAAAAAGAAGAAGAAGAAGAAGAGAAATGTCAAGGTTATCAGAACCTAGGAAAGTCCAAAACACTGCCACAGCCAAGAGGACCCTAGAGAGACATCACAACTAAATGTGATGCGGCATCTTGGATAGGCTCCTAAAGAAGAAAAGGGACATTAGGGGAAAACTAAAGAAATAAAATTAACTATGGACTTTACTTAATAATAATGTGTCAATATTGATTCATTAATTATGACAAATGTACCATCCTAATGTAAGATATTGATAAAAGAGAAAATGGTATGGGGTATGTGGGAACTTTATACTACCTCCTCGACTTTTCTGAAAATCTAAAACTGTTCTCAAAAATAAAGTCTACTGTATTTAAAACTGAGAAAATCTATAAAACAATGGTTTTCAGACATTAAAAAATAGAAAAGAAGGTTTCTTAATCCCTATTTTATAAACAAATAAATTCCATAGAACTTAAGCACCTTTCCCAGGTTGCACAGGTAAATCAATGGCAGAGATAAGATTCAAATCCAGGTAGACTCCAGAACCCATGGTGAGATGCATCTCATGTAAAATCAATCCAGGGTGCACTGTTTGGGAGCCTTCCTGATAGGGAATTATAAGGATCTATTGGAATTAGAAACTCTGTCAACTTCTTTGTAAGGTGGGTTGTTTTCCAAATAAACAGATCCGCTTGATTTTTAAAATTAATTGCCAACTGGGGCTTTATTAATAGAGCAGCAGGGGTCTAAGAATAGTTCCAAATTGCGTTCACCTTGGGATTTAGGCTGTCAGGACAAGTCTGAAGAATACTAGGGCCCAGGGGAAAAGGCGGGCCGGGTGTGATTCAAGGACAGGGGCCCAGGCTTAGAGGGGTGGGGGGAAGGACCCTGAGAAGAGGATGCGATTCTCTCTCAGATTTTTCCCTAACCTCTGAAGACTGGAGTCTAAATGATGGAGAAAGAGAGCTGCAGTAAACAAGTTAGTAAATATAGCTTTGTTTGTTTATAATCTCCCTGGGCCATCAAGGGGACATTAGCAGCAGCAGGTTCTGTGGTGACATTACAGGACACATGAGGTCAGTGCCAGCAGCCTTTGGACAGGCATAACAGCCTTCTACAGCAACCACTCCATCAGGCAGTGGCAGGGCAGGGCTGGAAGAAATCTCCACAGCAGATCAGAGCATGAGAGGAAAAAGGCTAAAAGCAGGTTTGGCAGGGGAGTGGAGAGCACGTTTGAGATCTGCTGCAGGGACTTTCAGGACCCTTTGGAGGAAACCAACGTCCCACTAGGCAAGTGGGGGCAGAGATAAGAACAAACTGATTTCTGGTTATTTTTATGAAATATTCTTAGCCCCTGGCTGACTTTCTCTGGAATAATTAGGGTACATGAAAAACAATGGGAACCTCACTCTTTTTTACATAGCTTTCAAATTCAAAAATAGTCTCTTAATTCTAAGATAATGAATAAGAAAACATAAGGAATAATTACTGTGAATTGTCTCAAAATGTACATTCTAGAACGTCTATCAACATGTAATAAACCTATGTTCTATAGCTACTTTTAAGTTTTTCTTATGTCACTAAAAGTCTTAATTTCACAGCATGTCTAATGTAAGGTTTCCCCAAAGAGAATGTATTTTTTAACCCTGCTAAGCAATTTATAACCCTTTACAGGAGTCAGATATTCAAAATGCTTTTATACATATCTACTATTTTTTT